>NC_000001.11:234365939-234517454 GCF_000001405.40 Homo sapiens | reverse complement strand
AATCTTTTTTAAAGGCTTCTGAAACTCAGTGCACTCAGCAACTGTCTGTGGTTAAGGGGTAGTATATTTTCAGTTTTGTCGTGTGTAGGCACAGCTTCCTAAGCACGTCTTTTCCTTGAATTCAGTCTGTGCATTTAAAGGAATACTTTTGTTACCCTTGATCTCTGCTACACAGTCATTCATCTGACGTAAATCAGAAAAAGAGAAGTGTATAGGTGCATATAGGTGCATATAAGTGCATATAAGTGTATATGTACCTTTAAGGAAAGAAAGTGAGACAGACAAGGAGAAAAGTATTAGGCTGGCTGTAGTAAACAGTCCTCAATGTATACGTGTATTAAAACATCACATTGCTGCCAGGCGCGGTGGCTCACACCTGTAATCCCAGCACTTTGGGAGGCCGAGGTGGGTGGATCACATCAGGAGTTCGAGACCAGCCTGACCAAACATGGTGAGACCCCGCCTCTACTAAAAATACAAAAATTAGCTGGGCATGGTGGTGTGCGCCTGTAATCCCAGCTACTCAGGAGGCTGAGGCAGGAGAATCGCTTGAACCCAGGAGGTAGAGGCTGCAGTGGGCTGAGATTGCGCCACTGCACTCCAGCCTGGGCGACAGAGCAAGACTCGGTCTCAAAAACAGAAACAAAAACATCACATTGTATACTTTACATATATACATTTTTAATAAAAATAAACAATTTTTTAAAGATAAAAAGAAAGCTGGGCGCAGTGGCTCATGCCTGTAATCCCAGCACTTTGGGAGGTCAAGGCCAGCAGATCACTTAAGGTCAGGAGTTTGAGACCAGCCTGGCCAACATGTTGAAACCTCAGTTCTACTAAAAATACAAAAATTAGTTCGTCGTGGTGGTGGGCACTTGTAATCCCAGCTACTCGGGAAGCTGAGGCAGGAGAGTTGCTGGAACCCAGGAGGTAGAGGTTGCAGTGAGAAGAGATTGCACCACTGAACTCTAGCCTAGGAGACAGAGCAAGACAGCAGCTCAAAAAAAAAAAAAAAAAAAAGAAAAAAGAAAAAAAAAGAAAAGAAAAAGAAATAGTAAGATAACATAAGTGTAAGTATAGATTATAGTAACATAACATGAATTGATAATAATTGTATAATTGTGTGATAACATTACAGTAAATTTTATTTTTAAAGTTTTCTATATAATATTTTTAAATGTATAATTTAAACTTTTAGAATTTATAGTGTTTTAAATATATACTTGAGACTCTGCAGTGTTCTTACTCATCACTTGAGTCATTAGTTATGGAAATGTATTCAGTCATTTATTGGAATTTTTTCGTTGAATCCATTATTCATTATAAACACCTGGGGAAATGGAAGGTATGTCGTCCTTACCTATTGTTTTTGCCTAAGCCCATGCTTCTGCTGTGGAATGCAGCTGAGAACATGGCTGTGTTTTTGGAGGGCATTCAGTTTAGTTTTCTCCCAACTTTATTGCTAGTTGAGGCTTCTGGAACTGTTTCAATTGGATGCAAAATGAAGGAAGTTATGTCAGATGAATCATTTCACTGTGTGTTGCTTTACAGAATCACTTCCCCTGGATAATTAATAAAAGATTGACAGGAAGAATGTCCCCGGAATAATTAGCAGGCAGTTTCTGAATGGGAACTTTTATTTTTCTCATGGTTCAGTCAAACTGAGCACCTAGTTTTTGCCATTTGAGGATTTTTGACAGAGACAGAGGCAGCCTTAGAACCACTGCAAAGCTGGTTTTTGTTAGAACACAGCACATATATTTATGGAGCAACAATTCCCAGTCCTCCTTACCATAAAAACACCATGGAAAATCTTCAGGGTGACCTCCTGCAAGAGGCCCTGCCCAACTGCTAAAGCTGCCTCTCCAGGATCCCTTGTTCCTCACACTGGTTTTGCATTTTGTAGCTCTGACTCGCATCTTTGTAATGAGGTGAAGTTTCTAGCTTCTAGGTAAATAAGTCAGGCACTGCAAAGTCAAGTGGCATAAGGTATTTTTGTTTTGTTTTTACATAAAATGGCGTGAAAATGTTTTCAGAGACAATGCCGGGAGTCCTCAATCCTGCTTGGTGAAAAAACTCTTAGAGCTCACACTACATCCAATAGCTTTGAACCCTACAAACTAATCTGGGGACAACAAACTCGGTTGCTCGTTGGGCGAAAATGCTGATCTGATTAGCAACCCTTCTTTTTTCTTACTGTGGTTTTAATAATTTTGCTTTTAAACTACTTTTGTTCCTTTCTGCAATTATCTTTTCATATGTGTTTTATTTCAGCAGGATAATGTTTTCTGACTCAACTGTCAGACTGGTATACATTGCAAGTTGATTTTAGAATCCTGATAATCTTGGCCGGGTTCCGGTGGCTCACGCCTGTAATCCCAGCACTTTGGGCGGCCAAGGCAGGTGGATCACCTGAGGTCAGGAGTTCGAGACCAGTCTTGCCAACATGGTGAAACCCCGTCTCTACTAAAAATGCAAAAATTGGCTGGGTGTGGTGGCGTACTCCTGTAGTCCCAGCTGCTCTGGAGGCTGAGGCAGGGGAATCACTTGAACCCAGGAGGCGGAGGTTGCAGTGAGCCGAGATGGTGCCACTGCACTCAAGCCTGGGCAACAGAGCAAGACTCTGTCTCAAACAACAACAACAACAACAACAACAAAGAATCCTGTTAATCTTGTTAATATTAAAAATAAAACTCTGGCACTAATCAGGTTTGTGACCTCCTGCAAGTCAGCCGAATGCTTTGAACCTCAGTTTTCCCAACTGTAAAATGAGGGGTTTGCACTAGAATATTTCTAGTTCCCTTCGGTGCCTACACTCTGTGATTCTGAAGCATCCCTTGGTTGGGTTTGAACAGAACTGTTCACAGATTTCTTGTTGAGGTCACTGAGGGCTCCCTGTCTATACTGTCCCCTCCAGTGCTACCCTCCCTCTCTCCTGTCTCCATCTCTCCTCCACCTCTACCTAGGAGCTCACCTCCCAGCCTTTCATGGGTCTGCTCCCCGTAGCCCAAGAGCTAAGACCCACAGGCCACATGGAGGAGGCCCACCTTCTCAGTGGGGAGCTCTGGGTTGCCACTGGGCCATCCTCAGCTTGACCCTGATCTGTACCCCCTGACCCACCCCCCAGCACCTAGGGAACCTCATTCCAGCAAGATGAGACTCTGCATCTTCTGAGATGAAAACAAATTCAGTGATCTTCCAACTTCCACCTAGGAACCCTGAGACCAGAAGACATAAATACACCTCTCTGGCCAGAGGTGAGAGATTTCTTTGAAAACTGATGTTAGATTTTAAAAGTTCATGGAAAGTTTGCATTTCATTCCATACTAGTCCAATTTGTTTTCATATAAAAATGTTGTTTTTTTAAAAAAGTGGAGAAGCTAAACAACAAGTAACTCTAAAGCTCCAGGAAATGTGCTAAGTTTGCCCCTGGCTGGGAGTACTTTTAGATCCCCATCGCCCCTCCTCTGCCCCCGTCCCTTTCAGGATCTGCCTCTTTGAACATGTATTCCAGTTTGAGAAACATGGAATGAGAGCAAGGAACCATTTGTGCAGCTGAAAGAAGGACTAGTTGCATTTCTTTTTTTTTTTTTTTTTTTTTTTGATACGGAGTCTCACTCTGTCACACAGGCTGGAGTGCAGTGGCGCGATCTCGGCTCACTGCAAGCTCCGCCTCCCCATTCACGCCATTCTCCTGCCTCAGCCTCCCGAGTAGCTGGGACTACAGGCGCCTGCCACCACGCCCAGCTAATTTTTTTTTTTTTTCGTATTTTTAGTAGAGACGGGGTTTCACCGTGTTAGCCAGGATGGTCTCAATCTCCTGACCTCGTGATCCACCCGCCTCGGCCTCCCAAAATGCTGGGATTACAGGCGTGAGCCACCGCGCCCGGCCCCTAGTTGCATTTCTTGAGGCTCATAGAGTCCTCCTTTTTTTTTTTTTTGGAGATGGAGTCTTGCTCTGTCACCCAGGCTGGAGTGCAGTGGCACGACCTCGGCTCATTGCAATCTCTGCTTCCCAGGTTCAAGTGATTCTCCTGCCTCAGCCTCCCGAGTAGCTGGGATAACAGGCACACGCCACCACGCCCAGCTAAGTTTTTTTTGGATTTTTAGTAGAGACGGAGCTTTACCATGTTGGCCAGGCTGGTCTCAAACTCCTGACCTCAGGTGATCCGCCTGCCTCAGCCTCCCAAAATGCTGAGATAACAGGTGTGGGCCACTGCACCCAGCCTCCTCTTCTTATATAGGTGCATTTTATGTGCATTTAATGATACATGTACATTTTAGTGATTTTTTTTTTGTCTTTAACCACTTGGTAGGGAGGGGAGCACCCCGGGGGGTGCTTTGGGGCACGTGGAGTTTCTCATTTTCTTCCAGGCAATGCTAGGTGTTGGGGTGGCCGGCTTTGCGGGGGCTCTGGGCTGCTCCAGATGAGTCAGATCCATCCCTGCCCAGGGTTTCTTCTCACCTGGGACACGGGGGTATTCTGTTCATCTCTCCCAGTGCTTATTAACTTTTTCGACCTTGTTGGAAACTTTGCTATTTTCACAGTCTGTGGAACTGAAACTTAATGTTTCACAATTTACATGGCTAATTTTATGTATTTATGATTATTCTATCACATGTCTACCAGGGTTTTGTTTGGTTTTTGGCCCTGGGAAGGAAGGGGAAGCACCACCCTCCGGACAGTCAGCCCAGGCCTCCCGTTGGGTGGAGTCTGAGGGAGGGACTGTCCATTTGAATATTCAGGAGACAGCAAATACCTGCAGGGCAGGGGGCCGCTGGGGAGTCAGATGAAGATACATCTGAGAATATAGTAATTTGAAATTGGCCTTTCACAAGGCACCATCTCAGCTTCAGTGAGAATGGCTATTATCAAAAAGAGAAAACTAACAAACGCTGGCAAAGATAAGGAGAAAGGGGAACCCTCGTATGCTATTGGTGGGAATGTAAATTAGTACAGCCACAATAGAAAACAGTTTGGAGGTTCCTCAAAAACCTAAAAATAGAACTACCATATGATCCAGCAATCGTGTTGCTGGGAATATATTTAAAAGAAAGGAAATCAATATATCGAAGAGATATCTGCATTTCCATATTTATTGAAGTACTATGCACAATAACCAAAATATAGAATCAACTTAAGTGTCCCTCAAAGGATGAATAAAGGAAATGTAGTATACATACACCATGGAATATTATTTAGACATAAAAAGGAATGAAATCCTGTTATTTGCAGTAACGTGGATGCAACTGGAGGACATTAAGAAAAATAAACCAGGCTCAGAAAGACAAATAATACATGCTCTCGCTCACATATGTGAGCAAAAAAATTTGATCTCTTGGAGGTAGAGAGTAGAATGGTGGTTATCTGAGGCTGGGAACCATAGTGGGGAGGGCGGTATTAAGAAGGGTTGGTTGGGCCGGGCGCGGTGGCTCACGCCTGGAATCCCAGCACTTTGGGAGTCAGAGGCAGGTGGATCCCTTGAGGTCAGGAGTTCAAGACCAGCCTGGCCAATGTGGTGAAACACTGTCTCTACTAAAAATACAAAAATTAACCAGGCATGGTGGTGGGCACCTGTAATCGCAGCTTCTCAGGAGGCTGAGGCAAGAGAATCACTTTAACCCAGGAGGCGGAGGTCGCAGTGAGCTGAGATAGCACCACTGCACTCCAGCTTGGGCGATAGAGCGAGATTCAGTCTCAAACAAACAAACAAACAAAAAACAAGAAGGGTTGGTTGGGGACTGGAGGGAGGTGAGGAGGGTTAATGGGTACAAAAAGAAAGAATAATACCTACAACCTACTATTTGATAGCATGAACAGAGTGACTATAGTCAATAATAATTTAATTGTACATTTTTCCCCCAAGACAGGAGTTTCATTCTTGTTGCCCAGGCTAGAGTGCACTGGTGTGATCTCAGCACACTGAAACCTCCGCTTCCCGGATTCAAGCAATTCTCCTGCCTCAGCCTCTTGAGTAGCTGGGATTACAGGTGTCTGCCACCACTCCCGGCTAATTTTTTGTATTTTTAGTAGAGATGGAGTTTCATCATGTTGGCCAGGCTGGTCTTGAACTCCTGATCTCAGGTGATCCACCCACCTCGGCCTCCCAAAGTGCTGGGATTACAAGCATGCGCCACCATGTCCAGCCAATTGTATATTTTAAAATGAAAAAAGGCTGGGCGTGGTGGCTCGCATCTGTAATCCCAGCACTTTGGGAGGCCAAGGCATGTGGATCACTTGAGGTCAGGAGTTCGAGACCAGCCTGACCAACATGGTGAAACCCCGTCTCTACCAAAAATACAAAAATTAGACAGGCATGGTGGTGTGCACTTGTAGTCCCAGCTACTTGGGAGGCTGAGGCAGGAGAATTGCTTGAACCTGGGAGGTGGAAGTTGCAGTGAGCAGAGATCGCACCGCTGCACTCCAGCCTGGGTGACACAGTGAGGCTCCATCTCAAAATAAATAAATAAATAAATTAATTAATTAATTCAATAAAATGTAAAAAGAAGAGTTGGTTAATTGGTACAAACATTCTGTTAGATAGAAGGAATAAGATCTAGTGTTCAATAGCACCGTAGAGAGAGGCCAGGCGCGGTGGCTCACGCCTGTAATCCCAGCACTTTGGGAGGCTGAGGTGGGTGGATCATGAGGTCAGGAGTTCAAGACCAGCCTGGCCAAGATGCAGGAACCCCGTCTGTGCTAAAAATACAAAAATTAGCCGGGCACAGTGGTGCGTGCCTGTACTCCCTGCTACTCGGGAGGCTGAGGTAGGAGAATCACTTGAACCCAGGGGGCGGAGGTTGCAGTGAGCTGAGATCGCGCCACTGCACTCCAGCCTGGGTGACAGAGTGAGACTCTGTCTCAAAATAAATAAATAAATAAATAAATAAATAAAATTAAAAATAGATAAATAAAATAAAAATACCACCATAGAGTGACTAAACAATTATTTATTGTATATTTCGAAATAGCTAGAAGGGAGAAGATTTGGAACGTTCTCAACACAAAGAAATGATAAATGTTTGAGGTGACGGATATTCCAATTACCCAGATTTCATCATTACACTTTGTATGCATGTATCAAGGAAGAAAAGCAATTAAAAAAAGAAATTGGTATTTCAGATCAAAGCCAAGTGTGGCCCTAGCTGCACCCCAGCACCTTCAGCTGCTCATTTTACAGCAGCATGCTATAAGGGTCCTACCTCACCAGGGGGTGTGGGAGCACTTGAACTGATTTTATGTCAGGACATGAGTGCTAAGTATTATTACAGTAATGTGAAGAGAGCCACTATTAGCATTTGTAAGCCCCAGGGATAGTTGAAAATCAGAAACTCACAGAGGTGCTGGGAATGGCTGCCTGAGAGCTGGGAAACCTAGTTACTTATGCGCCATCACCAAGCTGCCAGCACTGAACTCATCATGGTGCAGAGAAATTTGGATTGCATCAGCCTGAACGGGGGCTGGGGATCTAGAAGGGGTGGTAATTTTTTAAAAAGTCTTTTTCTATGTGTTTATTTAGTCAACAAATATCGACTGAGTGTCAGCATTTGCTCCTGGCAGCGGGTGAAGGTAACCTCTGATGCAGCCAGCCTCCAGGGAGGGAGGGATAAGCCTGAGGGTGGGGCTGTTGGGGAGCTGGCAAGAAGCTGAAAGTCTTGTGGGGCAGATGGACCGAAAAGTATTTTGTGAAATGAATGAATAAGTGAATAAAAAAGGCCAGCAGGTAGATGGTCTAAATAGGGCTGGGGTAGATCCAGGATAGTTAGGGGCAGAAAACCCATGGGAAATCACTGGGTGGGAGAGTGTGCAGCCTCAGAGGTATAGCACACGTGGTGGAAGTCCCCGGGGGCAGACCCGGGTTATTCACAAGAATCCAGCTACACAAGAAGGCAGGGAGAACAGGGCAAGGCCAGGCTCTGGGAAATAAGCTGGCCCAAGTAGCTTTTTTTGTTTGTTTGTTTTTGTTTTTTTGAGACAAAGTTTCGCTCTTGTTGCCCAGGCTGGGGTGCAATGGCACAATCTCGGCTCACCGCAACCTCCGCCTCCCGGGTTCAAGCAATTCTCCTGCCTCAGCCTCCCAAGTAGCTGGGATTCCAGGCATGTGCCTCCATGCCCGGCTAATTTTGTATTTTTAGTAGAGACGGGGTTTCATCATGTTGGTCAGGCTGGTCTCGAACTCCCCACCTCAGGTGATCTGCCTGCCTCAGCCTCCCAAAGTGCTGGGATTACAGGCGTGAGCCACCGCGCCCGGCCCCAAGTAGCTTTTCTAAGCAACAATGCCAAATCCTCTGTTCACCCACCCAGTCCCATAAACCTCCCACTCTGCAGCCTGATCTTCTCTCCTCTGCTTTCCCAGCAGCAGATTTTGGGACCTAGTCTTCCATCTCCATTCTAGCTCCATGTGTTATAAGTAGTTTCTCATTTAATCTTCATGTCAACAACTTGGTAGTTGGCACTGGCCAGGCTTTCAGATGAGGAATCTAGGCTCAGAGAGGTTAAGTACTTTGCCCAAAGTCACACGGCTAGTAAATATGAGAACTAGGATTCACTCATTATTAAGACGCTTCATTTCGGCCAGGCGCGGTGGCACATGCCTGTAATCCCAGCACTTTGGGAGGCTGAGACAGGCGGATCACAAGGTCAAGAGATCGAGACCATCCTGGCCAATATGGTGAAACCCCGTGTCTACTAAAAATACAAAAATTGGGTGGGCGTGGTGGCGCATGCCTGTAGTCCCAGTACTCGGGAGGCTGAGGCAGGAGAATTGCTTGAACCCGGGAGGCGGAGGTTGCAGTGAGCCGAGATTACGCCACTGCACTCCAGCCTGGTGACAGAGCAAGACTCCATCTCAAAAACAAACAAACAAAAAGCTTCATCTCAATGACTTCCCAATCCCTCCCAACTCGGAGGTTCTGTGTGTCTATGGAATGCCTTGGTGAAAGGAAAGAACACAAGCTTTGAAGTCAGACATACCTGGTCTGAAATGGGACATACCTGGTCTGACTTCAAAGCCTGTGTTCTTTCTCTTTCACCAGGGCATTCTATAGACCCACAGAACCTCCGAGTTGGGAGGGATTGGGAGGTCATTGAGGTGAATCTTCTAAATAATGAGTGATTCAGTTTTCCAGCACTCTCCATAAGCCGAAAGCTGGAATATGTGGCTGTGTTCTTGCTTAGTCAAGTGGCAAACAAGGGCAGAAAGAAAGAGGAAGAGAGGGAAGGAAGAAGGAAAGGAATGAAGAAGGGTGGGAGGGAGAGAACAAAAGTTCAGCTTCAATGAACGTATCGTATTTTGAATTTTTTTGATGGAACAATCTAGAAAGAGCTATTTTAGTTTCACCATGCCTGAACATCTTGCAATTTATGTTTAGCTTTTTTTTTTTTTCTTTGTCCTGGTCTCTTTACCTTAACTTAGCATGTGCTCTTTTCTTCCCAGGCAAGACTTTGCCTCCTTATGATAAAGGTTCTAATTTGCTTCCTAGTAATAACGCTCCTCCACCACATCTCCCATTGTGGCCCAATGTCAGGATCAGCCCAGGGGAGCACCCACTTGGCCTGCCCAGGCTTCTGAGCAAGACTAAACCAGAAAGCAGGTAGAAAATAGGCTGCGCGCACCTCCCCAGCTGATTTGGGGAAGAGTAGGACCTTTCTGGAATCTGATACCTTAGGGAAACAAATCCAATAGCATGAAGTTGAAATCGGTTGCAATTAGGTGAACTGGTTACATCATGCGCAATGTGAGGGAAACAGCCCTGCAGACCTTGAGTAGCAGTAACACGGTCTAAATCAAGTTTGTTCAACCCGCGGCCCAACACAAATTCAGAAACTTTCTTAAAACACGATGAGATTTTTTTGCAATTTTTTTTTAGCTCATCAGCTGTCGTTAGTGTTAGTGTATTTTATATGTGACCCAAGACAGTTCTTCTTCCAGAGTGGCCCAGAAAAGCCAAAAGATTGGACACCCCTAATCTAAATCTTTTGCAGATTTTGCAGATTTGAGGGCTTTCGTTGTGTTTATCTTGGGGCCTCTCTGGAGTTCCAGGTCAGTGGGGAGGAAGCCTGCAGGCAACAACTTCCAAGGAACCCTTGGGGTGGGGCGGGGGGGGGGTGGGACAGGACCAGCACTGCAGAGGGGCACCTCCTAGTGCCTGGAAATATGTGAAGCAGCACAAGGCTCTAGGAGCACAAGAAGACATGCTTCCTGCCCTCTGGTGACTTAGGATCTAGGCCAAGGACCAATTAGAAGACAATTAAGGACTTAACTGTGAGAGAAATCAACTCTAAGGGTAATAGGAATTTGCAAATAGAGAAGACTTCTATGGCTGTGGATTGGAAAGATTTGAGTAAGGACTTGAAGCCCAGGAAGGATTTGGGTGGAGTGGAAAGAAGGGCAGCAGGGCAGGGCTGAGGGAGTAGAGGAGGCAGAAAGATGGAAAGTCCCCATTATGGAGCGATGAATTAAAATAGAAAATAGCCTGTAATCCCAGCTACTCGGGAGGCCGAGGTGGGAGAATCGCTTGAACCTGGGAGGCAGAGGTTGCAGTGAGCTGAGATGGCACCATTGCACTCCAGCCTGGGCGAAACAGCAAAACTCTATCAAAAAATAATAATAACAAATCAAATAGGAAATAACGACACTACACTTGTCACAGTTCTCCAAAGTAATTTTTATATATTGTCTCCTGTAATTTTCGCAATGCGTTTGGGAATATACAAACCTCTTCTCTGGGCATAGCTGGTTGGGGTGAGGGTGGGACATCTGACTTCAAGTGGACCATTACATCTCTCCCACTCCCATTGGACTTTTGGATTTGCAAGGTGAGGGAGGTTCAAATTATTATTTTAAAAGAATTGTTTTATTTCCATAGGTTTTTGGGGAACAGGCGGTTTTTTGTTGTTGTTGTTGTTGTTTGTTCATTTATTTGTTTTCTGAGACGGAGTCTCACTCTGTTGCCAAGCTGGAGTGCAGTTGCGCGATCTCAGCTCACTGCAACCTCCTCCTCCCAGGTTCAAGCAATTCCCCCGCCTCAGCCTCCTGAGTAGCTGGGACTACAGGTGTGCACCACCACACCCGGCTAGTTTTTTGTATTTTAGTAGAGACGGGGTTTCACCATGTTGGCCAGGATGGTCTTAATCTCCTGACCTCGTGATCCGCCCGCCTCAGCCTACCAGAATGCTGGGATTACAGGCGTGAGCCACTGTGCCCGGCCATGAGTAAGTTCTTTAGTGGTGATTTGTGAGATTTTGGTGCACCCATCACCCAAGCAGTATATATTGAAGAGGGAGGTTCAAATTAGTTTCTTCCAGGCGGCTAAAGCTGTAGGAGGCAAAGTTTGGAAGAATGGAAAAGTAGAGGCACCTGGTTTAATGGAAGGGAGAGAGAGGGGAATGGAAGAAGAAGCTTGTGTTCAGATATTCAGAGGGGGGCAGGAAAGAAAAATGAAGAGCTGCCAATGTTAGAATCTAGGGCCAAGTTGGATTGAGACATCCCACAATTCTTACACCAAAGACCCATTTTTACTGAGTCATGTTGAATTTCTCCTTTCAATAAAAACATTCCTAACTAATATACACACCTTGTCTCATTTCATTTTGCAATAGCCCTTCTAACAAGATTAGTTTCATCATTTCCCTTTTATGGGCCACTTAGGTTTCAAGAAAGAAATGAGACTTAGTGAGAAATGTGCCCAAATCATCATCAACTGGTATGTGATTGAAACTTCATTCAAATCCACATCTGATTTCAAAGCCCAGGGTCTTCAACTCCTCCCCCATAGCACTGTCTTCATTTCCTAGGAGTGCCAGGAACAAAGCACTACAAACTGGGTGGCTTGAAACAACACAAGTTTATTGTCTCACAGTTCTGGAGACTAGAAATCTGAGATCGAGGTGTCAGCAGGACCCACTCCCTCTGAAACCTGCAGGGGAGAGTCCTTTCTTGCCTCTTTTAGCTTCTGGTGATGCTGATAACCCTAGGTGCTCCTTGACTTGTAGCTGCAGCACTTCAATCTCTGTCTTCCCATGGCCTGCCCCCTCCTGTGTCTGTGTCTCGGCATCTCTCCTCCTTTAGTAAGTGCACCAGTCATATTGAATTAAGGGCCCTCTCTACTCCAGCATACCTCATCTTAACTTGGCTACATCTGCAAAGACCCTATGTCCAAATAAGGTCATGTTGACAGGTACTGAGGTTAGGACTTCAGCATTTCTTCTTGGGAAACACAATGCAACCCATCATGTGGTTCCAGAGAATGAAATCTAACTGAAAAAAGAACTGAGGCCAAAAGATGCAGCGAATTACCCAGGTGGCTGAGCCAGTAAGTGGTTAGCCAGAGCTCACACTAGCTCTCTCTCTCTCTCTGCTCTGTTCTCTCTCATGTTATGGCTGGGATAGTGTGGTGAAAGGAAGACATCTTGGACCCCCAAAATCACTAAGGAAAACTCAAGCCCAGAACTGCTTAGGACGAACCTGCCTCCCATTCTATTCACAGTCACTCCTCTGCTCACTGAGATAGATGCATATCTGATTTCCCTCCTTTGGAAAGGCTAATCAGAAACTCAAAAGAATGGATCACCTGTCTGTGACCTGGCAGCTCCCTCCCACTTTGAGTCTTCCTGCCTTTGCTTCAAGTTGTCCCACCTTTCCAGACTAAACCAATGTACTTCTTACATATATTGATTGATGTCTCATGTCTCCCTAAATGTATAAAACCAAGCTGTGCCCTGATCACCTTGGGCACATGTCATCAGGACTTCCTGAGGCCGTGTCACGGGCATGTCCTCACCTTGGCAAAATAAACTTTCCAAATTAACCGAGACCTACCTCAAATTTTCGGGGTTCACAGTGTATTAGTCTGTTCTCATGCTGCTAATAAAAGACATATCCGAGACTGGGTAATTTATAAAGGAAAAAGGGGTAATGGACTCAGTTCCACCCAGCTGAGGAGGCCTCACAACCATGGCAGAAAGCAAAGGAGGAGCAGTCACATCTTACATGGCAGCAGGCAAGAGAGAGCTTGTGTAGGGGAACTCCCATTTATAAAACCATCAGATCTCATGAGACTTATTCACTGTCACAAGAATAGCACGGAAAGACCTACCCCCATGATTCAATTACCTCCCACTGGGTCCTTCCCACGACACATGGGAATTATGGGAGCTACAATTTAAGATGAGATTTGCATGGGGACACAGCCAACCCATATCAGATAGGTAAAGATATCTTATAGGCACAGGAGAAAGGTCACAGAAAATAATATAAATTTGAGATGTTTTGACAAAAAGCAGATGTTTAAATCTTTGATGAGCTTGCTAAAACAGAGCATAAAGAAGCTAAAAGGACAATGGGAACAAGGAGTGAGGAAAAAAGAGGAGCTAGCAATCAAAATACAGCAATCGGTTTATTCAGTTGTTCATTGATCCCATTATTAAATGGGCACAGTGGAGTGTCACTCATCTAGTAAATTTTCAGTGTGTGGTGGCCATTATAAATGTGTATTTGTGTGTTTAAATGAGTGGGTGACATTTGTTTTCTCCTGTCCTCTGTTATACGTCTTTGGATAATTCCAAAAGATGACTTGGCTTTATAGTCTTGCAAGAACTAAGATTTTTGGCCTGAAACTTAGTCTTGGCCATCAGTAGTAAATTTAAAACTAACATCCCTCAGGAAGTACTAGAATTAGCTAAACAAGGGAAGGAAAAAATGGATAAAGTCTGTGACTAATAATAGTACAGATAATGCGACAATTCAGTTCATCTCTGGAAACTCCTAGCAAATAGTCATCTCCAAAATACCCTTCATATTTTCATTAACAGGCCTTGGTTAAGTGTCCATCACCTTCAAGATCTCCATAGTCACTTTATTCTCCAGAAAACAACAGAACAACCAGCCAATGGCAGAGGGAAGTCCATGAAACATGGATTATTACATCATCTGGGCTTAGGAAACTTATGGTATTTTTAGGGGATATAATCTAGGAACCTCCAGAAAAAGTGAGGATGTGTTACAAAATCCTGGATTAAGCACCAGGTGCTTAAAATGAAACGCCTTTCCTGTTCCCAAATTTTCTCTCCCTTTTCCTTTCTGACCCTAATGGCTCATTTTTTCACTCTCCTCCCCCAGTGCCCAGGGCTGCATTACCCACTTCCTGGAGCCCAGACCCTCTAACTTTTGGAGGCGTGCCCACACCCTGACATTATATCAGGCATGTTCACATGTACCCACCTCCCACATGAACAGGTAGCTAATAAGAGCTGAGTTCCAGCATGGTTGGTATGTGAGCACACTACTCTTTTAGACTTTTGATTAGATATGTATTAATTTAACATATTTTCTTTTTATATGTTAACAACAATAAAGTATGCTCTTGAAAAAATTGATACATTGGAATTGCTTAGTTTGGACTTCACCCTCTGACCTACCTGTCCTGGCTGACCTCTCACTACAGACAAGGCACATTTGTAGATAAGTGAGTCTCTCTCTCAATATCAAATAATATTTACAGAAGAGGCAGTTATTAATTAATCAAGGGCTTACTATCCAGTTTGAACTGGGGCCAGGTTCTTGATTTTCTCCTTTGATACTTTCTCCCAGCCTTGTGGATGTTGGGGCCACCTCTGCCAGCCAGCAAGGGAAGAAAGTGATTACTTTTTTACATAGCAGTCATAGCAGTTCAAATGCTAATTCTTTTTTTCTTTCTTTCTTTCTTTTTTTTTTTTTTTTTGAGATGGAGTCTCATTCTGTCACCCAGGCTGGAGCGTAGTGGTACGATCTTGACTCACTGCAACCTATGCTTCCTGGGTTCAAGTGAGTCTACTGCCTCAGCCTCCTGACTAGCTGGGATTACAGGCGTGTGCCACGACACCTGGCTAATTTTTTTTTTTTTTTGTATTTTTTGTAGAGATGGGGTTTCACCACGTTGCCCAGGCTGGTCTCGAACTCCTGACCTCAAGTGATCCACGTGCCTTGGCCTCCCAAAGTGCTGGGATTACAGGCATGAGCCACCGCACCCGGCCCCAAACATAAATTCTTTCAAGGTCTTTCAGTAGTCACCATACCTGGATCCTTCCTAATTCCTCTAATTCCACTAATTAAACTGGATTATCTCAAGCTAATCATATACAGGATCTTAATGATTTAAAACAAAACAAAACACTCTCTACCTGGCCATGCCATGTGAAGGACATTTGATCCTCTATCCTAGCGTGTGTGTGTGTGTGTGTGTGTGTGTGTGTGTGTGTCACAGAGAGAGAGAGAGGTGTCATCTAACATACCCTCTACATGTAAATGAACAATCTTTGGAGGTGCACAAATAGGTTAGCCCAGCGACCTGCCTCGCAAGAATGCTTTGAGGAGTTACTAGTTACAGGATATAAGATACTACAGAAACCTAAATTGTTTCTGAAAATGCTAAACAATAAGACATTTCTCAAAAGGGCCTCAGTCCCTTCAGTATTTTACAGGAATTCCAACTCTAGCAGCTTTACACAGGCATTATCACTTAATTACCAATAAAAATCTCACTAGCAACTTCCATAACTTCATTTGCAAATGAATATGCACACCTCCTAAATCATTCCCTCCTTTTCTCTCTCTCTCTCCCCAAGTTATTCCCTGACTGGCTCTGAAAGACTCCACGGCACCTGGGATTTGTAGAGGGCCCCCGTTTCCAGGTGTCCTTCCAGGCCAGCATGCACTCCGGGACATGTCAATACCACGTTGATGGAATTGTGCCTGATTCCCACTCAAATCCATCCATCCCTCCTGGCATTGGTGGGGGTCGACGCATGACAGAAACCTGGCTCCATTTGCTTGAAAGGTTCACAAACCATAGTGAATTTTTTTTTGTTTGGTTTTGTTTTGTTTGGCTCTGTCGCCAGCCTGGAATACAGTGGCGCAATCTCGGCTCACTGCAACCTCTGCCTCCTGGGTTCAAGCGATTCTGTTGCCTCAGCCTCCCAAGTAGCTGGGACTACAGGCGCGTGCCACCTCGCCCAGCTAATTTTTGTAGTTTTAGTAGAGACGGGGTTTCACCATGTTGGCCAGGATGGTTTCCATCTCTTGACCTCATGATCCGCCCACCTTGGTCTCCCAAAGTGCTGTGATTACAGGCGTGAGTCACCATGCCCGGCCCCCATAGTGAACTTCTTGTGATCCAAGGCCAAGTTTCCAGTATGTAATGAAAACTGAAACCTGGTTTTGAGTTTCCAAATTCACACAGAGCCAGTCATGACGGAAGATGTGTGAGGTAGCAAGGGTGAGCAGCACCACGGCACAACCAAGACACTCAGCACTTGGTTCTATTTCTAGCTCTGCCACCTCCTTGCTATGTGGCCCGAGGCTGGTCACCTGCTCTCACTTAGTTACCTTTCCCTAGTATTGGGGGAGAGCAGAGCTTTTTGCCTTATCATTCCAGGACCTGAGGATGTGTATGCTGAAACAGTGGCATTTCTCTGAATCTCTTTGAATTACAGTGCACATATCTTCAGGATATCAGAGACATCCCATCCATACCAGCACGTGCCTTCTTTTCCTAGTCATTTTTCTTCAACTATTCCCGTTTGAGCTGGGCTAAGAGAACAACAGTCTGGACTCATTCCTTAGGTGCATTGTTGGCCTTCTCACAGACTTAAATATATACATCTGTCCCACTTTTAGAGAAAATAGGAACAAAATCTATTACATGTATTTTAGGCCCTCTATCTGAATTCTGAAGTCTTTCTCTGACTTCTTTTTCAGCTTCAGCTTTTGATTTCAGGCACATTCACACTTGTTTAGCTTTCAACTTACAGAGAATGCTGGAAAAGAGATTCATGCATTATTTAGAGCATTCGTCTAAATGCCCTCCCAGATCCCTTCTAACTCCATGAGGTCCCATGAGTCTGTGAAATGCATGGGCAAAGGAAGAGGAACTGAGGCTTTGAAATCAGATATACCTAGTTCCAATTCCTAGTTCTCAAGTTTACTAGTTGTGTGACTTTGGGTGAGCTGCTTAACCTCATAGGAGCCTAGAGTCCTCATCTAAAAACCTGGGCCAGTGCCAACTACCAAGCCATGACTGTGAGGATTAAATGAGACATCACTTCCATAAAAACACGGAACAGAGTGTGAGGCATACAGCAGGTGCCAAGGTAGATATTAGATCCTGCTTTTCATTATTGGTGCAAGTTTCTGATGGGTCAAACATGCAGGCTGTTGTATATTTGAATATTGCTTCAGTCTTCACTTCCACGGTTTTATTTCAAAAAGAGAAAGAAGGAAGGAAATAAACAGAAACTGTCAGAGGCCCTTCGGAAATCATCACTCATCCATTGAAATGTGCTTTCCATTCAAAAACTACCTTATTAATTATTCATTGCTTTTGGAACTGAAAATGAGAACAGAGCTTAAGACCCAGAGTTGGACAAGAACAGTGTTCCAACTGCTTGATTTCTGTCATTTCCTGGTTTCTACGCAGTACCTCCCAAAATCTGAGATTTGCAGTTTTGGGAGTCGAGAGAACTTTAGGCTTGATGATCAGTCAGGTTTAGTCAGGTTTAGCCAATGCCCTGGAATGACTGTTCTCTTTACTTTCATTTCCACTCCCGGCACCGCATTTCTGGGGGATTATTTCACTGCATGGGTGGCCCGAGTCCCTTGGCCTTCAGCCTTATGGCTCATTCCACCGCTCTGGGCAAGCCATAACCACCCGAACATGCAAGTCTTTCTTTTGTGCCCCAGTGGCATGAGTAACATCATTAACTCTTCAGGGCCGAGGTTTGGGATTAGGTAAAAATCTTACATCCCCCCGTGTTTGCAGTCAGAACACCAGAGTAACAACAGGGTGTTTGCGGGGCTTGTTTTCACGCCAGAAATGAGGTTGCCCTAACACACAATCCTTAAGATGTTTTTTCCCTAACGATTGTCTTCACCAGGATCGTGGGTTACAAAATGGAAGCTCAGTGCTTCCTGCTTCGAGTTCCAGTAGAACAAACATGCAAGAGACTCCTCGGCTTGGAAACTCTTCAAACCAGGGAAGGGCTGCTGATGTGTCCCCAGGAGGGGAAGGGCAGGAGGAGCACAGTTGTGCAGGGGGGTGTTTCACATGCTTCTCTAAAGAAGAGCTTCCTAAAGTGTAAAAAGGCTGGGGAAAGACACATTTCCCAAGGCCTGGGGCCAGTGCGGGGACAAACGCGAGGCTGGCGCACGTGCATTGCGGGTTCCGCGCGCCATCTGGTGGCTTCGGGCTGACATTGGGCGCACCATCCGGGCTTTTACCCCATTGACAGACCTCATAGAAGGAACCCATTGCGGGCGATAAAGTTCTGCTGGAAGTGATCACCAGGGCCCCCAAAGGAAGACACCGAGGGCCAGATGTTCCGAATTCCACTCCTTATTCTACAACTGGATACTGAAAGCCTCAGGTTCTCTTTGACAAGGGGGCACTGATCCTTCCTTCAGGACCAGCCTTCCTATCACACAGCAACATAAGCACTCGGCTCTGGGCAGTGTGGCCCCTCTGTGCCTTGCTTTCCACATCATGACGCCACATGACGGGCCACAGGAGTCTTCCCTTCGCCCCTACCTGGAACGCGTGTATTCCCTTCCAGCCTTGTGAATCCCACAGTTCTCAAGGCTCAGTCCACAGGCATCTTTATATCCTTAGAATATTTGCCTCATATTTTGTTCATACTAGTGTTTCCAAAGTGTGTTCCAAGAATGATGGTGTTATTAATCAGAATTGTATCTCTTTTTGAAAAGGCATTCAAAGTTTGGGAAAGTCAGGGTTACGCAAAGGTTAAACAGACCTGATTGCAGGATATCTCAGGAGCATGACACATACTGAGAATGTAGTGGATTTCTAAGAAGGAACTACAGTTTGCTATAGTTTCTAAACTTGTTTGACATCAAAACCTTCCTCCTATCTCCACCTTTGAAATGTATCTTGCAAATATTGCATCTAATAAAACAATTTTAAGGAAAAATAGCATCCTGTTCACTTGACCCAAGATTATGTAGCTGTCTTTTTAAAACTGGAAGACATCTGCATTCGTTTGCTAGGGCTATTATATTGCCTCACGGTTGTGGATGCTGAAGATCCAAGGCCAATGTGTTGGCAGGGTTGGTTTCTTCTGAGGCCCCTCTCCTTGGCTTATAGATGGTCGTCTTCTCTCTGTGTTACCACATGGTCTTCCCTCTGTGCCTATCTGTGTCCTAGTTGCCTTCTCTTTTCTTCATTGTTTCTTCTTCTTCTCCTTCTTCTTTTTTTTTTTTTTTTTTTTGAGATGGGGGTCTCACTATGTTGCCCAGGCTGGTCTCAAACTCCTGAGCTCAAGTGATCCTTCTGCCTCAGCCTCCCAAAGTGCTGAGATTACAGGAATGAGCCACTGTGCCCAGTCCTAATTTTCTCTTCTTATAAGGACATCGGTCATATTGGGTTAGGACCCACCAACATGACCTCATTTTACCTTAATCACCCTTTTAATGTCCCTATGTCCAACTACAGTTACATTCAGAGGTACTAGGGGTTAGGACTTTAACAAAGGAATTTTGGGGAGCCACAATTCAGCCCGTAACAACATCTTATTGTTGCATCTGTAGGGTAAAATGTATGCTTCAATGGAAAATTATGCATTGTTTAGAGCAGGGTTGGCAAACTACAACCAGTGAGCCAGATCCAGCTGGCCACCTGTGTTTGTAAATAAAGTTTATTGGCACACAGCAGCATTCACCCTTCACATATTGTCTAAGATTACTTGCATGTTCACTGACAGTTGAGTATCTGTACAAAAACCATATGGCTTGCAAAACCAAAAACATTTACAATCTAGCCCTTTATAGGAAAAGGTCTAGAACCCACCCACCCACCCTTCAGGGTTATCTAATTTTGATCCTATAGGGGCTCTGCACCTTTCACGGCCTTTGAGTTATTTTACAACTCAATAAATTGTAGATCATGGATAACAATGCAAAACAATCCTTGACCACAGACAAGAAGCAGCCAGTTTTGCCTCAGTTTGCTTATTCCTTTCAGTATCCTTATCAATAAATGTGTGTCTTCTTTGGATTATCTTTTGAACTGGCAGTAGCGTCTTGCAGTTTCCTCATTATTAATGAATTGAATAAATCTTTAACTTTTTTTTTTAGTATCTGTACGAGTCATAATTTTACCTTTTTTTTGAAAAAGTGTCCCTTAAAATATCAATGTTAGGTTTCTTGAGTGTAATAATGGCACTGGGATTATAAAAGACAATGTTTTTGCTCTTAGGAGTACATATTAAAGCACTTAAGGTGTGTCACGCGCGTCCACGTGAAGAGAGTCCACGAACAGGCTTTGTGTGAGCAGCCAGGCTGTTCGTGTGACAAGGTGAAGTGGCATCATGCTTACAATTTGTTTTCAAATGGTTTGGCGTATATGAATATAAATGTGTGTGTGTCTGTAAATACTCACACATACATCACATATATAGGAGGAAAGATGGAGGAAGAGAAGGAAAATTGGTAAACTATAAACAACTAGTGAATCTAGGTGAAGTATGGTGCCCTTGAATGGTGTACTATTCATTGAACTTTTCCATATGTTTGACAATTTTCAAAGTAAAAAACTGGGCAAGGGGGGATAAGTTTATGTCATATTCCTCATGAAGCGTGTTGTCAGCTTCATGTCCTATTCTTCTGGATGTTTTTCCAGTACTTCAGAGATTAGCCAATTATAGACGTTTGTTAGTAGTCTGACTTTCTGCAGTGGGTACTGCAAGTAAGAAAAAGTAAATGATTGGGAGGCTGAGGCTGGCCAATTGCTTGAGTCCAGGAGTTTGAGACCAGCCTAGGCAACATGGAGAAACCTCAGGTCTATGAAAAAAAAGAAAAAAATCAGCTGGGTATGGTGGCATATGCTTGTAGTCCCAGCTACTAGGGAGGCTGAGGTGGGTGGATGGCTTGAGCCCAGGAGATCGAGGCTGCAGTGAGCTGTGATCATGCGACTGCACTCCAGCATGTCTCAAAAAAAAAAAAAAAAAAAAAAGTAAATGGAACATGAAACATTAATGTTTCTACTGTCACATGGCTCAATTTCTTCTAGAATTCTTAATAGTACCAAGCAAATAAGATGTTAAAGTAGATTTTTTTTTAAGCTAGTTATATCCTATTCCTAAAGAATGCTCTTTAAAAAATAAAATTTTATGGCCAGGTGTGGTGGTTCACACCTGTAATCCCAGCACTTTGGGAGGCCTAGGCTGGCGGATCGCCTGAGGCCAGGAGTTCAAGACCAACCTGGCCAATATGGTGAAACCCTGCCTCTACTTAAAAAATACAAAAATTAGCCAGGTGTGGTAGCGGGTGCCTGTAGTCCCAGCTACTCAGGAGGCTGAGGCAGAGGAATCGCTGGAACCCGGGAGCAGGAGGTTGCAGTGAGCTGAGATCATGCCACTGCACTCCAGCCTGGGTGACAGAGTGTGACTCCATCTCAAAAAAAAAAAAAAAAAACAAAAACAAAAAAAAAACAAGAAAAGAAAAGAGAGAGGAAAGAAAGAAAGAAAGAAAAAGAAAAAAGAAAGAAAGAGAAAGAAAGAAAGAGAAAAGGAAAGGAAAAGAAAGGAAAGGAAAGGAAAAGAAAGGAAAGGAAAGGAAAGGAAAGAAAGATCTTTTAGGACAAACTCTGGACGTGAGGACCTCTTACACGGTGCTCATGTTCAAGCTTAAGGCATTACTTTTTGTAGTGTGTTTGGGGTGGAGGTGGAGGTTGAAGTTTGTGTCCCTCAATGACTGTATAGTTTTGCACACCCTCCCCACCCCACCCCCAGCTTGACATCATGGTCTTAATACAGTTAGAGACCTCATTCATTGCAATTTGACTGCTGCTTGAGCCGGAACTGTAAGATTCAGAGCTCTTTGCATACTTAGAGGTATGAATAGTGCGGTAACAATGAGGAAAGAAAGTAAGCTAAATTCTCAAACATTGTGTCATTTAGCATGAAGGTTTAAGATTGAAACTTTCTGCCTGAGGGAAGCAGAAAAAAAATGAGTTTGTACAGAAGGTTTCCAGTTTCTGAATGTAAAAGGCACACTAAAAATAGCTAAAGGGACTGAGTCGCCTAGAGGCTTCTTGAGTTGCCCAGTGGGAGTTCCTGCTCGGAGAAGCTGTCCTTCAAAGCTGCTGCTGGAAACAGCCCTGAGACCGTTGGTGTGTGATGCAGAGCTCTCCTGGGTGGATTTCATTTGGTCACAAGGAAGCAGGAGATGAAGCAGATGGAGATGTTTCTTCATGGAAGGATCCCCTAGGGGAAGAAATGTTCTACCTCTGACAGAGGCTGACAGTCCAGAAGGTAGAGGCACATTGTGGGCTCAGAGACCAGATCTTGCTGAAATCAGGGTCAACCAATCGCAAATGGGCACTAACCTCAAAGAAAGAGTCCTTTCTTTCCATGGCCACTGATACGGTGTCATTTAAGACCCTGATTTTTTCTTGTCTGGGCTATTACCACAGCCTCCTCTCTAGGCCCTCTGTCTCCAGTTTCCCCTCCTTCTCCAATTCATCCTACATATGGACTCTGGTGGGATTTTTCTGTAGCCTAATTCAGTTCAGGTGCTTCTATGTTTAACTTAATTTAATTTTTTAACAAATCAGACAACCAACTAACCAACCAATTTACCAAGCAAGCAAGCAAACAAAAACCCTCCAGTGGTTCTTCATCTTTTATTGACTTGACCTAAGCATCTTACCCAGTCCTGTTAACTAGTTCTGTCTTTTTAATCACATCAGTCACCACTTATTTATTTACTCCACTGAAAGCTGCAGAGAGAGGGGTGGGGGCATTTTCCTGTCTCTTTGGGGTGTCAGAGACTGTCATAGTTAGGTTTCTAAACCCCCATAGTGTTTAGTATAGTGTAATTCCCAGAATCAGGATTCAAGAAAAAGCCTTTGAGGGTATATTTACAAAATAATTGCAGGCAGGGCCTTGTCTGTCTGTACACCCATGTCCATAGCAGCATTATTCATAATAGTCAAAAGGTGGAAGCAATTCGAGAGTTCACTGATGGATGAATGGATACACAAAACATGGCACACATACAATGAAATATCATTCAGCCTTAGGAAGAAAGGAAGTTCGGATGCATGCTACAAAATGGATGAACCTTGAGGACATTATATTAAGTGAAATAAGCCAGTCACGAAAGGGCAAATACTGTGTGATTCTACTAATATGAGGTACCTAGGGGAGTCATATTCATAGAGGAGAGAGAAAGTGGTCACCAGGGGTTGGGGAAGTGGGGAATCAGAAGTTAGTTTTTAATAGGCAGAGAGTTTCAATTTTGCAAGATGGTCGCACAACAATATGAATGTACTTAATGCCACTGACCTGTTCCCTTAAACATGGTTAAGATGGTAAATTTTAAGTTACGTGTATTCTACTAATTTTTTCTAAGAAGAAAAGAAGGAATAACCCTGGAATGTTGAATCAAGGAGTTGGTGAGTGATTTCTCCTACACATTTGGGATCCTGCTCTTTCAACCTAATGGTTATACTTTTGAACATGCAAATCAAAGCAGTCACCATTCCCTCTTCTCCTCAAACAACCCTACAGTCGCTTCCCACCTAGAATGAGTCTGATATTCATGGCTGATTGTCCTACCTGGCCTGGGGTGCCCACCTGTCCTGCCTCCTCTGTCAACTCCATTCGTTTGGCCTTCCCCACTCTCCTTCTTCCCTGCTCCCAACTGCCTTGGGGTTTCCACATAGTTTCCCCTGGGGGTGGAGGAGGCTTTTTACTCAATTCTAGTCTAGTTGACTCCCTCTTTCTGTAGATATCAGCTGACACACTATTACAGGAAACGGGTCCCGATCCAAGAGAGGGTTCTTGGGTTTCGCACAAGAAAGAATTCAAGGCACGTCCATAAAGTGAAAGCACGTTTATTAGAAAAGTGAAGGAATAAAGAATTGCTACTCCGTAGACAGAGCAGACCTGAGGGTTCCTGGCTGCCCATTTTTATGGTTATTTCTTGATGATATGCTAAACAAGGGGTGGATTATTCATGGATCCCCTTTTTAGACGATATAGGGTAACTTCCTGACATTGCCATGGCATTTGTAAACTGTCATGGCACTGGTGGGAGTGTATTAGTGAGGACGACCAGAGGTCACTCTCGTCGCCCTCTTGGTTTTGGCCAGCTTATTTACTGTAACCTGTTTTATCAGCAAGGTCTTTATCACCTGTATCTTGTGCTGACGTCCTGTCTCACCCTGTGACTTAGAATGCCTTAACCATCTGGGAACGCAGCCCAGTAGGTCTCAGCCTCATTTTACCGAGCCCCTACTCGACATAAAGTTGCTCTGTTTCAAACACCTCTGACAACACCATTGATCAGAAAAGCCAGTCCTACTGCACAGACTGGGGTGAAGCATCTCATCATAGGCTCTCAGCATGTTCTTTGCTTCTTTTGCATAGTGGTTGTTATAAAATCATTAATTTGGCCAGGCACAGTGGCTCATGCCTGTAATCCCAGGACTTTGGGAGGCTGAGGTGGGCAGATCACCTGAAGTCAGGAGTTCGAGACCAGCCTGGCCAATATGGCGAAACCCTGTCTCTACTAAAAATGCAAAAATTAACCAGCTATAGTGACAGGTGCATGTAATCCCAGTTATTTGGGAGGCTGAGGCAGGAGAATTGCTTGAACTCCAGAGGTGGAGGTTGCAGTGAGCCAAGATTGCTCCACTGCCCTCCAGCCTGGGTGACAGAGTCTCCCTGTGTCTCAAATAAATAAATAAAAATAAAATTATTAATTTTCCATAAAACTATTTGGACTATTCTACAGACTGAATGTTGTGTCCCCTCACATTCACATGTCAAAATCTTAACCCTCAAGGTGATGGTATTAGAAAGTGGGGCCTTTGGGAGGTAATCAGGTCATGAGGGCAGAGCCCTCATAAATGGGATTAGTGCCCTTATAAAAAAAAAACCCAGAAAGCTGCCTTGCCCCTTCTGTTGTGTGAGAATACACTGAAAAGTCAGCCCTCTACAACCTAAGAGAGGGGCCTCACCAGACACCAAATGTGTCACTGCGCTGATCTAGGATTTCCCATCCTCCAGAACGGTGGAAAATAAATTTCTGTTGTTTATAAGTGACCCAGTCTATGACATTGTCTTCTAGCAGCCAAACAGACAAAAATAAACTAGACTGTAAGCTCCCTGGAGAGGCCAGGGATAGTAACTGCCCCAGTACAGTGCCTGGAGCATCACAGGCATGCCAATATCTGCTGGATCTCACGTTGTTCTTACCGATCTTGACACTTTTTTACATCTTCAGGGGCATGAAAACTGCTAAGAACCTAGGCAACGTAAATTCATTTGAGTGTAGCCATTGGATGGCCCCTGGCACAAAAAAAGGGGGCA
Organism: Homo sapiens; assembly: GCF_000001405.40. NCBI lineage: Eukaryota > Metazoa > Chordata > Mammalia > Primates > Hominidae > Homo > Homo sapiens. Next base: position 234,492,088 of record NC_000001.11, on the reverse strand, counting down.
AAGTTATTAGCAGCAACAAGCTCTTCAAAAACCACCACTGGCCGGGCGTGGTGGCTCATGCCTGTAATCTCAGCACTTTGGGAAGCCAAGGCGGGTAGATCACCTGAGGTCAGGAGTTCGAGACCAGCCTGACCAACATGGAGAAACCCTGTCTCTATTAAAAATACAAAATTAGCCGGGCATGGTGGTGCATGCCTGTAATCCCAGCTACTCAGGAGACTGAGGCAGGAGAATCGCTTGAACCCGGGAGGCAGAGGTTGCGGTGAGCCGAGATTGTACCATTGCACTCCAGCTTGGGCAATAAGAGCAAAACTCCATCACAAAACAAACAAACAAACAAACAAACCCACCACTATAGTTCCCAACTGGTGGGCATCAGTATTTATAGAGAACTGTGGTCGAGTGCTAAACTGCACAGCCCTGCTCATTCATATAGACATTAATATTTTTCGTAGTGTCATCTCTAGCTACGAAAAGAAATTGCCCAAAGAATACTAGATTTGGTGCTAGTGTACTGATACCTAGATTTTCAAACTGAATGCAAATAAGATCAAGGACTATTTCTTTTACTTCCTTTACAGCCAAACCCAGCATTTTGCTCCTCCTAGCAAAAGGAATTGGGTGGGGATGATGGGGCAGTACATTTTGCAATAACTTACTATTATCATTCTCTCACTGTTTCTTTGTGCTTTAACACTTTTGCTTACACAGCCCCCCTCCCTCACTCCACCTACCCCCAAAGTCTTCTTGGTCTAGTTTCAGGTCTCCTGCTGATAAGATGCTCAGGCTTTTTGTGTTCTTATCTGCTGCCAGATAAGGGGTGGGGTGCTCTGTGTGTATCTCTCTCTCTCTCTCTCTCTCTCTGTGTGTGTGTGTGTGTGTGTGTGTGTGTGTGTAAAGGAGTGGGGAGGAGGTCTTCAATTTTGAGGATGGAGGAGGCAAACAGGAAGAGGTTTCTTCCAAGGTTTGGTCTCTGGGTAAAGTATCTAAAAAACAATTCATCCTTTCACACTGAAAAAACCTACCTCCTGCTGGTATATCTCCTTTACGGCCTTATGCTACGCACCTGGCTGTCTCCTTCCCATGCCTGGCTCACATGACAAGCTCCCTTCATTTTCCTTAGCCTGGGTAGGTGCTGGCACAGGGAAAGGGGGAGGAAGATAAACCTGCCCTGTCACAGGGCTTTTGTGAAATGCACAGGGAGTATATAGCAGACAGAGGCGGAAATCCATCTTGACTAATTGACTGCTAGATCGAGAAAAGTTAAATAGTTAAATAGCACCTATTTCCTACAGACTCAGAAACATTGAAGTATTTATTAGCTGATGGGAGCAACACTGAACTTAAAAAATAAAACCACTCATCATTAGTAAGATATGAGATTACCCGCTTGAACCCGGGAGCCAGAGGTTGCGGTGAGCCGAGATCGCGTCACTGCACTCCAGCCTGGTCAACAGAGCGAGACTCCATCTCAAAACCAGCTTAAAAACACACCAATCTAGCCAGGCGAGGTGGCTTATGCCTGTAATCCCAGCACTTTGGGAGGCTGAGGCAGGTGGGTCACCTGAGGTTGGGAGTTCGAGACCAGGCTGACCAACATGGAGAAACCCCATCTCTACTAAAAATACAAAAAAAAAAAAAAAAAATTAGCTGGGTGTGGTGGCGCATGCCTATAATCCCAGCTACTTAGGAGGCTGAGGTAGGAGAATCGCTTGAATCCGGGAGGCAGAGGTTGCGGTGAGCCAAGATTGTGTCATTGCACTCCAGCCTGGGCAACAAGAGCAAAACTCCGTCTCAAAATAATAATAATAATAGTAACAATAATATATAAAAATGAAAAAATAAAAACACATCAATCTTTAAACTGAACATCTCAACACTTTCAGCAAAGATGTCTTTTCCTTTTTACTTTATGACATTCGATAAACAATGCCTTCAGAAGAACGTAAGAGTTTGGGAACTCTTGTGTAGTAGAATTCTTCAGAGAAACAGAACCAATAAGATGTATGCGTATATAGAAAGAGATTTATTACAAGGAATTGGCTCATGCGATTATAGAGGCTGGCAAGTCCCAATGTGCACTATTGGCTGGCAGCCTGGAGACCCAGGAGAGCTGATGGTGCAGATGAAGTTTGAAGGCTGTCCGTTGGTGGAATTCCCCTTTGCTTGGGAGGCTGATCTTTCTGTTCTATTCACATTTTCAACTGATTGCATGAGGCCCACCCACACTATGGGGGGCAATCTGTCTTACTTAAGAGTTCACCAGTATAGTGTTACTGTCATCCTAAAACATCCTCATTTACCAAGAAAGAACCCAGCAGACAACATGTTTAAGTGGGAAGAAAACATAGATGCCACACTGCAGGAGAACTAGGACAAAGCCTGCAAACTGCCTTGCAGAGGGGACTGATGCCAATGGCATCTGTTTTGTGAGGTGTAAGCCATTTTTGCCCTAAGTAGAAAAAAAAAAAACCCATACACTACCTCAAGTGGGAAACCTTGAAAACTGTTTCAGTAGCTCACCTTAAGAGCCTGTCACACCCTCCTGAGGAATCAGTAACGTCTACTTAATAGGCAGTCAGTGCCCTCTGGCTCTGAGTCCTGGTACAAAAATTTAAAACTCTCTGCCAGACCCTCTCTAAGGATACCTACTTACAAAGTAGGGAAAGGGAATTCCCAGTATTCCAGGAAAAGCTATTAGTACCTCCGTAGCTCCTGCTATTGGTGATGATTTGATTGGCCTGATATGTCCAAGTCTCTGGCTAAATGGAGCAGGTAAAACGTGCTTGGAAGCGCTTTCTCTAGACTTCAATCGCTTATCAGTGGGCTAGCAAAATAAAGACAGCCGGTAATGGATTTCACCTCCTTCTTTATTGCAAATGCAGCTATTAAAGGCCCCTCTGGCGTGCTCACACTGGCGAGAACTCCCTGGGCTTTGACTTCTCCCCGCAGTGATGTGCGGCCTTCTATGGCATCACAATTCATCATTTAACAGGAATCCTTGTGTGACTGAATCTATTGCCATCTCTTTCCTCTGTCAGAAGCAGAAGAGTGAGCGATTCTGACAGTGGCAGAGAGCCTGAGAATTCTGATTTTGCCTCAGAAGCAGGCTGGATGGGCAGGCTTAATCCTGCATTCTCTGCCTGCCAAACCCTTATGGATTTGACTGAAGACTAAAGAAGCCAGACCCAGGACCAGAAGGAGCCTCCATGGATTACCTTACAGATACTGACACGGTGCAGCCCACTTAAGCATAGGCTTTTTTTTGGTTTGTTTGCAGAAAAGCAAAAAAAAAAAAAGGAAATGAAAGTAGCTAGTAGCAGAAATAAGAACTTTTTTTTTCTTTTTAAAATGCTTTTAGATTGTGTTTAAAAGACAAACTGATGGGAAATTTGGTGACTCCAATTGTTCATAGCAGTTTTACTGGAGTCTCAGGCGACACACACAGAAGCAGTCAGTATGATATGAACATGGTCTTGGAGACACCATGAGATTGGGCGGGCCACCCTTTCCTCCCTTTGGTTAGTCCAGTGAACCTCTAAGTAGTCCGTGCTTCTCTTTATGTCCATCAGCCAAAGAGCAAGGCCGACCAAGCCAAGGTGAGACAGTATCTATATATAATGGAATGATTTGCTGAATGTTGAAAGGATGGCTTATCCCAATACTTAACTATTTTCCCTCCTTTCCTTGGCAATTTATTATGCATATCTGCCATGTGAGTGGGGAACGTATGAGTAAGACCAGCAGTTCTCAATCCACTTGTGGAACCTTAAAAAAATGTATAGATGATTGTGCCCTGTACTCAGAGTTTCTAGATGAATTGGTCTGGGGTGAGGCCCAGGCATTCAGTATGAACATGTGTCTCCCAGTGATTAAAGATTTCTGGTGATTCTACTTGTTGGTTTCTGTTTCTTTATAGGTCTAAACGATCAAGTCTGGGCAACAGTGAATGTCAGTTTCAAGGCAGAAATGATGGTGGCAATCCGTTAGGAAGAGGCCCCTAACCCTGGAAAGCGGGAGGTGGTCAAAACTAATGGAGCTAGCAGGACTAAATGATAAGCAACTGGGTGGGAGTCCTGTACCAGAGAGAAATATAGAAAACTCAACAAGGGAAGCTTGAACAAACAGGGACTTATTTTTCTCATATTATAGACTATCAAGAAATAGATATTTGCTAGCATTGGTTGAATGGCTTCAAGGAACCCAGGTTCCCTCTGCGTTTTCTCCCCTGCGACTTTTCTTGTGGTGTTTGTCATCTCGTGCTTGTTCTCTCATGGGTTCAAGTTGGCAGCTATAGGTCCAGAGAGCACTCTGTGATCAGGCAGGAAGGAACAGAGGAGAACTGTGGCAACAATGGTTTCTTTCCTTTTATCAGAAGCAAAAGCTTTCCCAGACACATCCCTAGCAGACTGCTGCTTATGTCTCATTGTCCAAGACTAGGACACAGAGAGCACCCATTGCCCGACTTGTAATGATGGTTGGAGAAGCAGGGAACAGGCTTGTCCTGTTTGCTGCCTAAACATAAGCCATTGGCCAAGGGCCAGTATGTTGCCATCCTGAGAAAAATGAGGGTTTGACAGCGAGGGAGAAGGGAGGATGGTTGTGGGGTTAATAATGAATGGTGTCTGCCACAGATCCTCACTGGGAATTTGAGTTTTCTAGATATCGCACTTAACATAAACGTGTTAATGATTCTGCAGCTGCATTTTTCCACGGAGGTTCTCTGAGGGCTTTCGGGGGAACATCAGAAGGCAAAAATTTCAGACAGAGCCTATCAAGAATCTCCTTCCCTTTCTTAGAGCCTTAGACGTAAACAGCTGAAAGCTATAGCTGAAGTCTTGCTATGTAATTGCTATTTCCTTTCTTTTTATACTTGTTTTCCACTTTGCAACTATGAACATTTAGTTGAAAGGATGGAAAAAGCACACTGCGCTGACAACAGCACCATCTAATGTCCAGAGAAATGTCAGCTTCTGAACAGATGCTAGTTTTTGGTTATGCAACTGCCTGTGCATTCTGGACCATGAACGCATGCAAGATTTGTGCATTTAAGAAGCATCTTTTCAGTGGGGTTGGAGCTCTGTGTACCTCTCTCAGGTCAACATTGTTATCATTCATTACGTAGTCCTATAGCCCTCACAGTGCCATGGCGCCCTTGCCCAGTGCTTCCCTCATGGTATTACAAAAGACTGTTAAGCACCTGCAGTGTGTGCCTTGAAAATCCCAAACAGTGAGTCCATGCAAATGCTCTTTTTCTTTTTTGTAGAGACAGGGTCTCACTCTGTTACCCAGGCTGGAATGCAGTGGTGTAATCACAGCTCACTGCAGCCTCAATCTCCTGGGCTCAAGTGATCCTTTTGCCTCAGGCTCCCAAGTAGCTGGGACTACGGGCACATACCACCACACCCAGCTTTCTTTTTTTGGGGTAGAGACAGGGTCTCCCTATGTTGCCCAGGCTGGCCTCAAATTCCTGGCCTCAAGGGATCTTCCTGCTTCTGCCTCACAGTGCTGGGATTACAGGCAAGAGCCACCATGGCTGGCCCCATGCAAACACTCGTGAAGGAAGGAGACATTTGAAAGAACATTTATCTGGATCAGCTTCCCTGACTTATGCTTTCTATTTCCCTTTTACTCTTGCTCCTTTCTCCATTACCCTTACTAAGAAGGAAGCAGTGTCCATTTCAAGTTGGGAAAGTGAGAAGAGTCAGAATTAAAGTCAGAGATGCAGCAGAGCAATCACATCTATAGGTGCACCATTTCAGATCAGAAGGAAATAAAAAGCCATTTTTAGACACCTTATGGTGAGTTTTAAAATATAAGGTGTAGTCAATAACACCTCTACATTCTAAGTTTGTTGGAACCAGTGTAGTCAGAGCTGTGGGATGCAGAGGTGGAGGAGGGATCTCAGGGCAGAAAATGACTTCTCGGAGGCCCCTGCTGGACGTTCCCATCCAGGATGACAAAAGCACAGGCTTCTTTTTTATTTGATTTGATTTGATTTGATTTTTATTTTTGAGACGGAGTTTTGCTCTTGTTGCCCAGGCTGAAGTGCAATGGCGCGATCTTGGCTCCCTGCAACCTCCGCCTCCTGGGTTCAAGCGAGTCTCCTGTCTCAGCCTCCCGAGTAGCTGGGATTACAGGTGCATGCCACCATGAACGGCTAATTTTTGTATTTTTAGTAGAGACGGGGTTTCATTATATTGGTCAGGCTGATCTCGAACTCCTGACCTCAGGTGATCCGCATGCCTCGGCCTCACAAAGTGCTGGGATTACAGGCATGAGCCACCGTGCCCAGAGCACAGGCCTCTTTTTAAAAACTGTACATATTTGTTGCCCGAGGAAACAGAGGATGCGGCTGACTTTGGGTGTACGGCAGCAGTCCTCAACCTTTTTGGCACCAGGGACCAGGTTTCGTGGAAGACAATTTTTCCATGGAGCCGGGAAGGTGGGGGTGGCTGCTGATTTGATAGGAGGCGGAGCTCAGGTGGTAAGACAATCTAAGGCCGCTGCTGATTTGATAGGAGGCGGAGCTCAGGTGATAATGCCCACTCGCCTGCAGCTCACCTTCTCCTGTGCAGCCTGGTTCCTAACAGGTCACGGAGGGGTAGCGGTTCATGGCCCAGGGGTTAGGGACCCCTGGTGTAAGGGATACGTGAGCTAGACTGAAGTAACTAAACTCTACTACTTTAAAGGGAGGAAAACTCAGACACTCATCCATAGTACACCTGCTTTTGATGTTAAAATAACAGTCACGACCCTAATTCATCTATGGATGAAGCAGGAAAATTGCAAGGAATGAGGAAAGAAAACTATTCTAAATCCTATTCACATATGGCTTCCAATGCAACTATTCATCTCCATGAGGATGCGGAGGGGTAGCTGGCTGTTCACACGCTGGATCGCCTCTGTGTATCAAAGCTGCGTATTGTTTCATGTTGAACCAGGCCACAACGATTTCAGCTTGCAAATGTTCATGTTTCAAGGGTAATTATGTCACTAGAAATTTTCCAGCTGATTAACTTAGAATTCTATCACTATAAAATGCTGAATTTTTATTCATCCAGGTTAAGTACTTATTGAGTAACTAACATGCTTCTGGTAATAATGTTGATATTTAGTATACAAATGAATTAAAACCAAATCCCAATTTTTTTGCGGGGGGGGGGTATTTTTTTTTTTTTTTTTTTTTTGAGATGGAGTCTCACTCTGTCGCCCAGGCTGGAGTGCAGTGGGGTAATCTCAGCTCACTGCAACCTCCGCCTCCAGGTCCAAGGGATTCTCCTGCCTCAGCCTCCAGAGTAGCTGGGACTACAGGCGCATGCCACCATGCCTGGCTAAGTTTTTGTACTTTTAGTAGAGATGGGGTTTCACCATGTTGGGCAGGCTGGTCTCGAACTCTTGACCTCAAATGATCCACCCACCTCAGCTTCCCAAAGTGCTGGGATTACAAGCATGAGCCACCGCGCCCAGCCAAAATCCCAGTTCTTAAGGGGCACATAAGTAGTTGCAGAAACTACACCTCCATCCATTCATACAACCATAATTTACTGAGTACCTACTATGTGCTAGACATCTATGATCTAGAATTTCTACAGGCAGTACACTGGACGTGGCAATTGTATATTTTTCTTTCTGGATGTTTTGGAGGTATTGCAGAAAATACCACAGCCTTTGAGTCAGACAGCTCTGCTGCTTTTTTCATCCTGTAATATCAGGGCAAGTAACTCAACCTCTCCTATTTTCAGTTTCCTCATCTGTAAAATAAGAAAAGTAAAAACACTTCGTTTATGAGTTGTTTTGAGGGTGAAGTGCAATAATATATATACAGATAGATATTACCATGTCTGGTCTTTAATAAGTGTGGTAACGATTAGCCATTATTATTACTACAATTAAAAGTTTGAGGAAGGCTGGGCGCAGTGGCTTACACCTATAACACTTTGGGAGGCTGAGGTGGGTGGATCACTTGAAGTCAGGAGTTCAAGACCAGCCTGGCCAACATGGTGAAACCCCATCTCTACTAAAAATACAAAAATTAGCTGGGTGTGGTTGTGCACACCTGTAATCCCAGCTACTCAGGAGGCTGAGGCAGGAGAATTGCTTGAATCTGGGAGGCAGAGGTTGCAGTGAGCCGAGATCGTGCCACTGTCCTGTAGCTTGGGCAACAGAGTGAGACTTCGTCTCAAAAAAAAAAAAAAAAAGTTTGGAGAATACAGAAATAGAAGTAAGTTATGACCAGGGGCATTACGAATGGCTGCTTAGAGAGATGCCTTAAAATTTGGGTCTTCATAGAGGAGGAGATGGCTATTCACTCAGTGTTACTGGGCTGGGCACAGTGGCTCACGCCTGTAATCCCAGCACTTTGGGAGGGCGAGGCAGGTGGATCTCCTGAGGTCAGGAGTTTGAGACCAGCCTGGCAAACCTGGAGAAACTCCGTCTCTACTAAAAATACAAAAATTAGCTGGGCGTGGTGGTGGGTGCCTGTAATCCCAGCTGCACTGGGGGCTGAGGCAGGAGAATCACTTGAACCCTGGAGGCAGAGGTTGCAGTGAGCTGAGATTGCGCCATTGCACTCTAGCCTGGGTGACAGGGCGAGACTCCATCTACAAAAAAAAAAAAGCTTTACTGAAGTGTGCTATGTCTGAGATGAGGTACTGGCATGAGTATAATAGCAGACAAAACCTCATACCCCATGCCTAGCCCTCAAATTGCTTAGAGAGGAGGAGTAGGGGGCAGAGAAATAACCTGCAATTGCAACACAGTGTGACCATTGCTGTGTTGGTGACATGCCAGGATGTTTGGGGAATTTGAAAGAGGGTCACCTAATTTAACTGGGGTGTTAGCAGCAGGAGAAAGGTATTAAGAAATGACTTTCTGGAGAGATAACATTTGAACTTTGTCTTGAAAGAAAAAAAAAGTCAGGTGGAGAAGGGGTAAGTGCTTTCCAAAAGAGAGAAGGGCTTTTTTTGAAAAAACACAAAGAAAAGTGAGAGCACACATGTTTTAGGGACTTCAAAATTAAGGTGTAAATGGGGCTTGTCAGGAGTGTGAAGATGGAGAATTAGGCAGGCATTCCATCTTGAGGCATCTTGGATGATATGCTAAGAAACTCAACCATGATTCTGAGGGCTCTGGGTAGCCAATGATGTAATTTTAGGAAGATCATCCTAGTACCAATACGGAGTATGTATTACACGACCAGGGGCACTAGGAATGGCTTCTTAGAGAGATGCCTTGAAATTTGGGTCTTCATAAAGGAGTAGGAGATGGCTATTCACTCGATAAGCGTTACTTAAATGTGATATAGCTGGGAGTGGGGTAGGTGGTGATTGCTATTATCTTGGCAAGAAATGAGGAGGGTCTAAAACTAAGTAAGGTATTAGTGGGGCACAGAGAGGAGGGATCACCGAGAGATTTAGAAAGTTGCATGGAAACTTTGAGGAGTGATTGCATGTGAGAATCAAGTAGGAAGTGTATTGGTTCCCAGGTTTTTGACTTGGGCAACTTGGGAATGATGGCCATTTCCCTAAACAGGGAATTCCTGGGAAGAAGAACATCGGTGGGGAGTAATGATGCTGGGTGAAGGGATGAAGGGAATGAAGTTAGATTTGTAAAAGTGGAGACTGAGAATGATGTCCTGAATAATATTCAAATGAAGACGTGTGGTAGGCAGTTGGAGAAATAGGTTTCGAGCTATCTCCTAAGGATAAGTCTCAGGAGAGAGACCTAGGCTGGAGATACAGACTTTTTCATCATTAGCATGTAAATGGTAATCAGATCTATAGTGTTAATGAAGTTATTCAGAGAAAATTTACAGAGTGAGGAGAAGAGAGACCTGAAGATAAAACCCTGGAAATATCACTATGGACAGGTCAGGAGGAAAAATAAGATGCTGAAAGAAAGGGAGAAGAAACAGCTGAGGAAGCAGAGAAAAGAAAGAACAGGACAAAGTCATCGATGAAAACCAGAGTGAGATAGTGTTTCAAGAAATAGGAAATACTCCACAGAGTCCATTCAGGTAAGAACGAAAAAGGGCAGCTCTGGCAATTAGGAATCGCTGCCCACATTGGTGAATCAGAAAAGTGGTGTTGCGGGAAATATTCCGGGAGAGAAGACAGTGCAAACATGTTGTGGGTAAGAAGGAGAGTTCCACATGCCTGACCTGGGGCAGAGAAGGGGGAGTCAGGCTGTGAGGCCAGCTGGCTTTTCCCCAATCCCAATAAGCCTTCAATGCTGTGCTCTGCAGTTAGGCTTTACTCTGAAGGCAACAGAGAATAAAACACATAGGCCAACTTGTTTTTTTGTTTTGTTTTGTTTTGTTTTGTTTTTTGGTATAAGTCATTTTTCAAGATTGAGGTAAACTTTCTTTTTTTTTTTTTTGAGACCAAGTCTCACTCTGTCTCCAGGCTGGAGTGCAGTGGTGTGATCTTGGCTCACTGCAACCTCTGCCTCCTGGGTTCAAGCAATTCTCCTGCCTCAGCCTCCCGAGTAGCTGGGATTACAGGCGTGCACCACCATGCCCAGCTAATTTTTTTGTATTTCAGTAGAGATGGGGTTTCACCATGTTGGCCAGGATGGTCTCAATCTCCTGACCTCATGATCCACCGGCCTCGGCCTCCCAAAGTGCTGGGATTACAGGTGTGAGCCACTGCGCCCGGCTGATTGAGGTAAACTTTCTGCAGAGCGAAATGCATAGATCTTAAGGGTTCAGTTCAAGGAGTCTTGACAAATGTGTAACAACACCCTGATCAACATAAAATATTTTCATCACCCCAGAAAGTTCCCTTGTGCCCAATTCTAGTCAAATCTCTACTCCCTATATGCAACTACTGTTCTCATTTCTATCCTTCAGATTACTTTTGTCTCTTCTTGGATTTCATATAAATGAAATCACGAGGATGTAAACGTTGTGACTGGCTTCCTTTGTTTAACATATTGTTTCTGAGACTTATCCATGTAAAGCGGATTAGCAATTCATTGTCTTATTGCTGGGAGCATTATTATATAGATAGATCACAATTTTTTATTCATTCTTCAATTTGATGCACATGTAGGTTGTTACCTAACACCTACTAGGTTGTTATAAGCTTTTGGCTATAACGAATAATGTTGTCAAAAACATTCTTCTGCAAGCTTTTTTTTTTGAAACATGTTTTCATTTATTTTAGGTAATTACCTGGGGGTGAAATCGCTGAATCATAAAGCAGCTATATTATAACTTTACGAGAAACAGTTTCTAAAGTGACTGTACCGTTTTCATGCCCACCAGTAATGTATGAGAATTCCAGTTGCTCCACACCCTTGGTCTTTGCCGTTTAGTGTTTTCGAGCTTTTACATGTTAGCCATTCTCATCAGTATGAAGTGGTACCTCATTGTGGGTTTAATTTGCATTTCTCTGATGACTAATGATGTTGAACACTTTTCCAAGTGCTTATCATTTGTGTATCTTCGTTTGTTAAGTGCTCAAGACATTTACCCATTTATATTTGTTAGATATATGTTGACAGAAACAATAGTTTTCTGCACATTTTATGTTGAAGGTAATTGATATTTACTGACATGTTAAAAGGGCTTAAAATAGAAACATTTATGCATTTTGTCAATGAAAAACGGAATGACTGAAATATGAAAAAAGTCTTGCCTGTGTAATGTCAGATAACCTTAAAGTCAGATAACTTTATATAAAAATAACTGTAAATTTAAATAACTAATTTTTGTCTTATCCATTATGTTATTATATGTCAAGCTCTTTGAAGTTGGGACCCTGTTTTCTCTATTGACTAAGAGGCAGATCTTTGTGTTTAGTAGCGAAGAAAACCCTATGTCACTGATCTAGTTTGTCTCAAATTGAGCCAGGAACCAAATCCACACCATGCATGCCGAGGTGAGGTTTTCTGTTTCTCTATTTAGCAATGGATGCTGTCAGAAATACAGAAAAGACAGACACAGGGACTATTTTTGAGTTTGCACATGGGAGCACATGCATTGTGCAGGAGGCTCTGCATCCTGGAGTCATCTTGGGCACTTGGCTGTGAGGGCTGGCGTGGGCATCTTGGTTTTAGCTGAATCCTAGCACATTGCTATAGGTACCTCTAAGGCAGGAGAATAGGGCCTGGAGGCAGGGAATCCAAAAACTCCCTAGAACCAAATCAGATAGAAACACTTCAGCTATGACAGGAAATATCCTCTTCATTTACATAGGGAGTACACCAAGTAAATAACTTTGTAACTTCATTTTATCCTCTTCAGTTACATAGTGTGTACACCAAGTAACCAATTGAAACCTCTATAGGTATTTAAACCCCAGAAAATTCTGTAACCAGCCCCCCTTGAGCGGCTTGCTTGGGTCTGCCCCCACCCTGTGGAGTGTACTTTTGCAATAAATCTCTGCTTTTGTGGCTTCATTCTGTCTTTGCTTTGTTTGTGCGCTTTGTCCAATTCTTGGACCTGGACACCCTCCACCGGTAACACTTCTCACTCCTGGCCTTACGTCTAAATCATTCTTGTGTTTTCATGACTTATTTTTAATGCAGATGTCCAGAACCAATTTCAGACCTACTGTGTCAGTCTCTTTGTGGATGGTGCCCATCATGCAACGTTTGGAAAATAATCTAAAGTGATTCTGCTGTGCACCTTCTGTGAACTGGTTTATGCTCACAGGCACGCCTGATTTAGGGTCCTGGGCAGACCAACCTCCAATCAGGAATCGATGAAGCTGGTGTAGATACTACATTAACTTTTAACGAAGGCCTCGTTTCTCCTAAAAATAAGAGACCAGGTGGGTTCTATCTAGGCAGGGTTGGTGGCAGGAACCCAAGGGAAGCTGAGCTGCACCAAGCCGGGCTGGGATCCCCCTCTCTGCGGCCGCGCGCCCGGCTCCGTCGGCGCACGCGCACGTAGGGGCCGGCCGGTCCTGTGCGCACGCATCGCACACGCCGGCGCCTTCCTTTGGGAGCCCGGGCCGGTGGCGCGGGCGCTCGGCAAATGGAGTGGGTGCTCGCGGAAGCGCTGCTCTCGCAGAGCCGGGACCCCCGGGCCCTGCTTGGGGCGCTGTGCCAAGGGGAGGCATCCGCGGAGCGCGTGGAGACGCTGCGCTTCCTTCTGCAGCGGCTCGAGGACGAGGAGGCGCGCGGCAGCGGGGGCGCAGGCGCGCTCCCGGAGGCGGCGCGCGAGGTGGCTGCAGGGTACCTCGTGCCACTGCTGCGGAGCCTGCGCGGACGCCCCGCGGGCGGCCCGGACCCCAGTCTGCAGCCTCGCCACCGCCGGCGCGTGCTGAGGGCGGCGGGCGCGGCCCTGCGCTCGTGCGTCCGCCTGGCCGGGCGTCCGCAGCTGGCGGCCGCGCTGGCTGAGGAGGCGCTGCGCGATCTGCTCGCCGGGTGGCGCGCGCCTGGCGCCGAGGCTGCCGTGGAAGTGCTAGCAGCCGTCGGGCCATGTTTGCGGCCCCGCGAGGACGGGCCGCTACTGGAGCGCGTGGCGGGGACCGCCGTCGCCCTGGCGCTGGGCGGGGGCGGGGACGGGGATGAGGCCGGGCCTGCCGAGGACGCGGCGGCGCTGGTGGCCGGGCGACTGCTGCCAGTGCTGGTCCAATGTGGCGGGGCGGCGCTGCGGGCCGTGTGGGGCGGGCTGGCCGCGCCTGGGGCGTCCCTGGGGTCCGGCCGCGTAGAGGAGAAGCTGCTGGTCCTGAGCGCCCTGGCCGAGAAGCTGTTGCCCGAGCCCGGCGGCGACCGCGCCCGCGGCGCGCGCGAGGCGGGCCCGGACGCCCGGCGCTGCTGGCGCTTCTGGAGGACGGTGCAGGCGGGGCTGGGCCAGGCGGACGCCCTGACGCGCAAGCGAGCGCGCTACCTGCTGCAGAGGGCGGTGGAGGTGTCGGCGGAGCTGGGGGCCGACTGCACCTGCGGGCCCCAGGAAGGAAACGGTACCTGCCTCTTTGCCCCCCAGCCTAGTGCTACCTACTTGGCTGCCCCAGAGGGGAGTCTTCCTGCTTCTAAAAACTAGCTTATCGGGGTCGTCACTCCGATCCATGCAGAATTTGGTTATTCCGCGTTGCTCCCCTAAAGCCTGAAAACCTTTGGAACCCCTTCTCGAGGGTGTTCTTTGAAGTCACAAATCACTGCGGTTGGGAACGTTCTAACCCAGAGCCGGTGGAATACAGCACCCCTGGAATAGTTTAGGAAGATAATGGAGCCCGTGCAAGATTTTACAGACCCAAATCTGCACTATATCATGGTAGATTCAACCCAATAGAAACGGTTGATATCTATCAAGTTGAAAGAAAAATTATTTGTTATTTATCTGTACTGACCAGTGAATTAGTGAATTGAGTGTTGAGTGTTAGAATTAAGCGTCATAGAGGCCATCACACTCTTCTGAAATTTCCCCTGGTAATTAGGAACAGGATTTACTAATATTTGTTAAACATGTTTCTTAAGTCGACCTTTTGAGTGTATTTTTGCCATTGATTTAATAGAATGAATCAGATTTTATTTTTTAACTGTTTGAGCTTTGCTCCCTACTATGTGCAAGAGTAATGAAACAGCAAGGCCTCCCTTCAAGTTGTTACGTTACTGTTGATTGGTTTGACTTCACTCATGTTAAATTTGGGTTTAAACTGTCAAGTACAAAGTAGATTGACTCAAAATTGTCTCAATAGAATATTTCTACTTTTTCAACGGTAGCTGACCATTTATTACAGGTAAAGGATTTTTGTTTGGCTGAAGTTATGAGGTTATATTTTCAAGTAATTTTAAAACATTAGAGAGTAAATATTTGAACAGTCCACAGATAGGTGTGATCATCCCTGAGAGTTTTCACTGGAAAACATTTTTTAAATCATCAAAAATTAAAACATTCATTTATTTACATGAGTCTGTTATTTTGCAGTTTTGTTTGTTTGTTTGTTTGTTTTATGGAGTTTCGGTCTTGTTGCCCAGGCTGGAATGCAATGGCACAATCTCCGCTCACCGCAACCTGCACTTCCCGGGTTCAAGCGGTTCTCCTGCCTCAGCCTCCAGAGTAGCTGGGATTACAGGCATGCGCCACCATGCCCCACTAATTTTGTATTTTTAATAGAGACGGGGTTTCACCGTGTTGGTCAGGCTGGCCTCAAACTCCTCACCTCAGGTGATCTGCCCGCCTTGGCCTCCCAAAGCGCTGGGATTACAGGCGTGAGCCACCGCGCTCGGCCAGTTATTTTGCAGTTTTAGGGATAAGCAATGGTGCTTCCATGCTTCCTGCAACTCCCATTTCCTCTGTTACAGAAAGCAAATCCTGTGGCCTCTTAACGGAATATTAGGGGATTTACCCCTATGTCTTGACATAGTATATCTTAGTTATATCATAAAATATATTGTCACAGTTAAAATTTTGGTTAAATGTGTGTTCAGCATTTATAAAATTATGACTGTAAATGCTGCTTGCAGGTGATCTATGTAGGAAACTGATCATTTTTCTCTTCCTGCAAGTTTTTCATATGATTTTGACGTTTTAAAATGTGTTCGGTTCTTTCTATACTTACCACGAATTCCTCCTTAAATTCTTAACCAGTTGACTAAATCTTTCCTCTACAAAATCAGATCATCAGAGGTTTTCCTGAAGAAGTTTCTCCCAGAGTCCCCTTACATGCCCAGATGTCGCAGGTTTCTCCCTGTGCCTGGTGCACAGACCTCACGCTTACCCCGGGATTCCCTTCACCTGGGTGTTCTGTTGAGTCTCATTTCCTGTAGTTCATATCTTCCTCTTTTTTGCTTTACTCACTTGTGTCAGTGCAGTGCATTCTCTAGCAGTTTCCTGAAATAGGATTTTTTTAAGGTCTTGTTTGTCTGATAATTCCATCAAATGCTCCTTTATGTCTGCCATCATGTTTTTCTCTCATTTCCATTTGACGCTTTTGGAGTTTCTCTCCTGAAAATCCCCATCTGCTCATCTGTTTATGCATATTGTTTACCTTTTCCACAAGATCCTTTAGCATATCAATTATAGTTATCTGCAAGTTCGATACCTGGACCATCTAAGTTTGGCTTTGTTTTCTGTTGTAGTGTTTGGCTATGGAGTCGCTTTTTTTTATGTCTTACTATAATAACAGTAGAGATGGAAGTAAATATTTCTGCCTGGGATAGGCACCGTTACTTTGTGGCATTGAGTTAGTCTAGTTTGTAGTTGAGCTGGGTTTGGCGTTGGTTGCTGTATTTGTTTTCAGTGCACTTTACAAACTTTTCCCAGATTTTGTGGCTACTTGCTTAGCTGAAGCCTGGAGTCTCGAAAGGTTTTTCTCCAGCCTGGGAGGCCTGTGCCACCGATGGAGGTCTTCAGCCAAGGCTTCGTCCCTCCCTCAGGGGTAGACTGCTGATGCTTGTTCCCTGGTGCAAGAGATGAGGCAGGGGCTTTTCATTTCTTCCACTGCAGCCTTGTATTTAGGCCCCATGTGTCTGAGCGTCAGCATTCCTGCTCTTTCGCTGTCTGTGCTCCCTCTCCAGTGGCAATAATCGTTGCCTCCAACTTAGGGGTGCGTTTAGGTTCCTGGCCCTAACCTGTGGCAGCTGCATTCTGCGTGAGTGTCTGTGGTAGGTCTTGGGTGTAGCGTCCTGCCCTCCTCCAGCACCTGCAGACCAGCTTTGTATCAGTGCAGGATATCTGGCAGTAGGGGGTTTGCTTCCCCTTCCACAGAATAAGATGCATTCGCCTAGTGTCAGTGCCGAGTGAAGGGAGCAGGTTCTATCCCTGCCCTAGAGGCAGGCAACTTTTGCTTGTATCAAGGCAGGGACAAGGGTGAGAGTGTGGGAGGGGCAGACAGCTTTGGCTTCCTGTCGGAGAAGGGTCCAGGGGGACAGGCACGTTTTGGCAGTTGATCACCATCTTGTACTCCTGCAGGGCATGGCTGGGCCTCTCTAGTTAGTCCTGCTGCCCTGGGTGCCTGCGCCTCTGAAGATCTCCTGCCCTGGCCACAGTCTCTCTCGAGAGCACCGGGGCAGGCTTGAAGAAAAGAGCTGGTGAATGGATGTGGACTCCCTCAGCAAGCTGTGAGGCTAGCCCACCTTGGTCTTTAAAAACTTGTCAAAATGCCATTTTTAAAACTGCTTTTTGGGTGACCATGTCTTGCTCCTGTGCCAGAAGTAGAACAGATAAGTGGCCTTTCCATTCTTGGAGCGCCTTCCTTCCTTTTAGAATTCAGGTTGCATTGTGACCTCAGTTCTGATGCTCCCCCCACCCACCGCACAACAGTTTAGGATTTTGTAGATTTTTCAGCCTTTCCTCTTTGTATGACAATAACGATCTCCTATGGTTTTCTATGTCCTAATGAGCAACTGAAACGATACATATCTAAATGCCTTTATTTTGTCCTCATATTTCATTGATGGTTTGACTGAGGGTAGAATTCGAGCCTGGAAGATATTTCCATTCAAAATTTTAAAGGTATCTATCTATTGTCCCAGAAGCTAGAGCTTCCAGTATTGCTGTTGAGAAATCTGAAACCATTCTGAATCCTGTTTATTTATACAGGAACTGTTTCTCTCTATGGAAGTGTGTAGGATCAGTGGCTCTAGCATTCTGAAATTTCACAGTTTTGATAGGAGTCTATTTTCATCCTTGTGCTGGGCACTTGCTGGACCTCCTGTGCAATCTGGAAATCATGTTCTTCAGTTCTGGGAAATTTTCTAGAATATTCTGTGGATTATTTCGTCCCTTTCTGTTTTCTGTTCTTTTTTTAGATATTGAACTTCCTGGACTTTCTTGAAAGCATCTTTTCTCTCCTAAGGATTTTCTATGATTTTGGATTGAGTTTTTTTTTTTAAATGTCCCCTTTGTGTGTGTGTGTGTGTGTGTGTGTGTGTGTGTGTGTGTGTGTTTTAGAGACAAATCCTCGCTCTTGCCCAGGCTAGGGTGCAGTGGCGTGATTATAGCTCACTATAACTTCAAAATACTGGGCTCAAGTGATCCTCTCATCTCAGCCTCCAGAGAAGCTGGGACGATAGGTGTGCACCACCATGCCCTGATAATTTTTTAAATTTCCTTGTAGAGACAGGGTCTTGCTATGTTGTACCAGGCTGGTCTCAAGCTCCTGGCCTCAAGCAATCCTCCTGCCTCAGCCTCCCAAAGTGTTGGGATTACAGGCATGAGCCACCAAGCCTGGTCAGAATGTCCCCTTTTTAATAATATCCTGTTCTTATAATACTACTATCTTCTTAAGATATTGCTGAAAACTCTTTTAAAAGTTTTCTTCTACCTGTGTAATTTTGTTTTCTCCAATTTCCTCCTCCCACTCCATTTGTTTTGGTCTTGATCTTTAGTGTAGAGGTTTCCCCAACTGTCTGATGATTCTTAGATCCCTATTTATGTTTAAGGATAAGAAATCAAAATTGGGTTTAAAGCTCTAAGCCCATGAGTGGTGCTGTTGACTGAACTTCACCATAAGGTGATTTGGCCAAGCCATTTCATTAAGGAATCTCTGATATATTTTCAGATCTTTCCTCCTGGGCTGGCCAGATTCTGCAGAGAACATCTTCCAGTTGTCTGATGCATAGTGAGGGCCTGGCCAGCATTCTAGGACCTGAGGGGGCAGGTAGAGAGGAGTCGCAGCACCCAGGGTGCACACATGTTCGCTGAATCCCCTTTGTCAGTAGGACTAATGTCTGCTGTGTCCTGTGCCTCCCAATTCAGAGACGCACTATTTTACCTTCTCCAGAAAAGCAGTTCTAGTCTTTTCCTGTTCAGGACATAGGAAAGTGGCCTGGGGATGTGACTGTTTCTTAAACACTGAACACATCCTCTTTGGTTTAGCCTCACTTTTCACTCCACTTACCAGAGTAACTTTTGCAGCCACTTCCTTTGGTTCCGGGGGATTTTGCAGCATAAATCAAATTGTTTCCTGGCTTTCCCTTTGTCAACTTAAAATTCTCATGACTTGAGTCAACTTGGTTTTCATCTGATTTTCAGATTCTGTATTTTATTGCTGTTGTCTGCCCCCAGTGTTCTCCATTCTTTTGGGGTTTTGCCCTTGAAAAATCCTTTACTGTTATAGTGAGATTCTTAGGGAGAGAAAGTAGAGTTTATATGTGCAAATCTGCCATTTTTACCCAGAACTCCAAAACAGTAATCTTAGTGCAAAAAAAAATCTCCCTCTGAGATTCCCAAGCCCCCTATCCAGGCTCTGATACAGGGGCACCTCCATTATTAGAGAATCCATTTGGTAATAGTGGCATTATTTTAAGAACTGCTGTCATTGAGAAACTTATGAAATTTGCAAAAGGAAGAACTAATTTTCTTTTTTAAACCATATCAGGCCCAAGTCTGTTTTGGTGGTCTGAGAGGAAAAAAGATGAGCTTCTAAAGTTTTGGGAAAATTATATTTTAATTATGGAGACTTTAGAAGGAAATCAGGTAAGTGTTTTTCTATTTTAGCAAATCCTACAGTAGATAACAATTTTTCTTTTTTAAAAACATTCATTAAAAGCGATACAAAGAGACTAACTCAGATATAGCTGGTGATGATAGAATCCAAGTATACTTTGTTGTCTGGCATAAATGCAACTTAGAGTGTAAGTTGTTTCAGGAAGTTAAAGAATACTTTCAGTTGACAAATTATTCAAAAATTTGATCTTCCCTTGCCATTCTAAAACTTTAACGTTTATCAGTATCAGTATCACCCAAATGGCTTATTATAAAGTATAAATTGCCATGCCCTGTCCTCAGACTTTCTGGTTCAGTAGGTCGGGGTGGGGCCTGGGACTTTTGAGTTTTTTTTTTTTTTTTTTTTTTTTTTTTGGAGACAGAGTCTTGCTCTCTCGCCCAGGCTGGGGTTCAGTGGCACGATCTCAGCTCACTGCAACATCCGCCTCCTGGGTTCAAGTGATTCTCCTGCCTCAGCCTCCCAAGTAGCTGGGACTACAGCCACGACACTGGCTAATTTTTGTATTTTTAGTAGAGATGGGGTTCCACCATGTTGGCCAGGCTGGTCTTGCACTCCTGACCTCAAGTAATCCACCCGCCTTGGCCTCCCAAAGTGCTGGGATTACAGGCGTGAGCCACCGCACCCGTCCAGGACTTTTGAGTTTTTTACAAGTTCCCAGGTGATATGTATGCTGCTGTTCTGGGAACTACACTTTGAGAACCATGGTTTCCATTCTGCAAGTTGGGGACCACAGAGGTGCCAGCCATCTGTGGAGTCATTGTGAGGTGTCAATCCAAATGTGCACCAAACCTTGTTTGTGGACTTAAATAATTACTTATATGTGCTAAATATATATAGATGCAAGGATGAGGAGTAAAGAAAAAGCATTTCTAAATTCAAATTAACTTTTATGGTTTTCTTTAATCAGTAGATCCATAAAACCCCCATTATTTATTTAGAAACCCAAATTTATCCATATTTTGAAGGATATGTAAATTAATCTCAAGCAAACGTGTCAGCAACTTTGGCTATGTGGTATTAAGAACATGGAACTCCGAACTGGCCGTTCTAAGCGTGTGCAGCCATGAACAACTTGAGTGACTAGAGAAAACATTTCAGTGTCTTTTTTCTCTTTGTAATATCTTAGTATTGGCAGTCCTACCTGCCTGCCAGGACAGTTGAGGATTCTATGACATGATTTATGATAATCACTGTATAAATGGTAGACTTTAATGTAGCTGTAATGTGGTTATATTCATTAGCTTTGCCATACTCAGTCTTACATACCTGAATCATACTATTGTTTGAAAAACTGGATAAATCAGGCTCTTTCTACATATGTTTTGTAGAAACAGAAGAGCTACTGTGAAATAAAGAGATGAAAATTGCCTGACATTTTTCAAGATGCATTTTCATTTCATATGATTTTTTTGCTCTTATTTTTAGATACATGTTATAAAGCCAGTTTTACCAAAGCTAAACAATCTGTTTGAATATGCGGTGTCAGAGGAAAATGGTAACGATTACTTTTATTTTATTTTTTAATAACATTTATGGTTTTCCCCTGATTTTGTAACTAATTCCTGTTCATTGTAGAGAATTTTGAAAAACTATAAAAGTGTACAGAAGAAAATATAATCATCTTGTAATGCTGCCACCAAGAGATAACAGTTGTTACCATTCCAGATACACACCTTCTGGATCATGTTGTTCATGTTTATCTCACTTAGCATAATAACTATATGCATCTACTCATATCCTTAAATCGTCTTTAAGAGCACAATTTTGGGCCAGGCGTGGTGGCTTATGCCTGTAATCCCAGCACTTTGGGAGGCAGAGGTGGGCGGATCACCTGAGGTCAGGAGTTCAAGACCAGCCTGGCCAACATAGTGAAACTCCGTCTCTACTAAAAATACAAAAATTAGCCAGGCATGGTGGTGTGTGCCTGTAGTCCCAGCTACTCGAGAGGCTGAGGCAAGAGAATCACTCGAATCCAGGAGGCGGAGGTTGCAGTGAGCCAAGATCACACTGCTGCACTCCAGGCTGGTGACAGAGCAAGACTCCGTCTCAAAAAAAAAAAAAAGAACACAATTTAAAATAGCCACAGAATTTTCTACAATTAAGAGATAAGGTTAATTTTTTAAACCGTTGATGATGGAGAATTTCAAACATTTATAGAATGAGAAGAGTGTGTGTGACGCACCTACCACCCTCTTTAATAACGATCGTCTCACGGCCAGCCTTGCTTAGTGTATCCTATGTAGCCTTCCCTGTTCCCTTCTTGCTAAATGGTTTTGAAGCACATCCCTAGATATCCTATCATTTTATCTGTGAATATTTCAGCACATTTCTTTAAAAGATAAGGACTCGTCGATAGGGTTTCAATGATGACATAGTCTGTGGTTTTAATAATTGCTCTTTTTTTTTGTTTTTGAGATGTGGAGTCTTGCAATCTGTTGCCCAGGCTGGAGTGCAGTGGGATGATCTCGGCTCACTGCAACCTCTGCTTCCCGGGTTCAGGCAATTTTTTTGCCTCGGCCTCCCAAGCAGCTGAGATTACAGGCATGCGCCACCACACCTGGCTAATTTTTGTATTTTTAGTAGAGACGGGGTTTTGCCACGTTGGCCAGGCTGGTCTCAAACTCCTAACCTCAGGTGATCCACCTGCCTCAGCCTCCCAAAGTGCTGGGATTACAGGTGTGAGCCACCGTGCCTGGCCAATAATCACTCTTTGGTATGAATATATCTTTTTAACTGGTTTCCATTCTTATTCTCTTAGTATATCTTTTCCAGTGTTTCTTAAGTTTTCAGTTATTGTTCTGTATCTTGTACTTCTTAGGAAGAGAAAATTCCGGGATATAATTTCAAATGTGTTTATAAGCCCTTGATCACTATATTATGAGAGCTTTTTAGGAGATACACAATGAAGCTGGAGCTTCCTAAATGTATTTTATAAAATTAAGTTTAATGAAATAGCTAAATGCAGCCCAATAGTGTTTTGGCCTGTGTTCATATGAATGATAAAATGCCACATTATTGTGTTTACACATGAGAATTAACCTAGGTAAATGGTTTTTAGTGCCTACTCTAGATAATTACAGTTTAATAGTTTGACCCCTTAGGAATTGAGCTTTATTCAGCTGATTGCTGTAGTTGTTTTCTGATACACTGGGATTTTTCACAGACCATAAGCATCTGTAGTTGCACCTGGGGCTAGAATTTAATTGAATCTTGTTGTGACTTCACTTATTCATTTACCATTAAAATGATGCTCTTATTACCACATTTTGCCCACAGCTCTTGAGAAACCAAATCAAATAGCAGTGACTGATTTTGAAAAATTACCATTGCCAAAGAGTTGAACAAGCATCTTGGTGTAAATTACAAATAATGGATTAATTTATTTATAGAATGTCATGAGTTAAAAATGCTGAGTATTTTTCTCTAATAGAAGTAAAAGATATTTCAAAAGAGTTAGAAAAATATCTCTAAGATATTTATTTATTCCATGGTTTTGATTTGCTCACTCATTTATATATTTACTGAATAAATATTTACTTAGTGTCCAGTACATGCTATTAGGTTGGTGCGAAAGTCGTTGCGGTTTTTGCCTTTTTTTTTTTTTTAAAAAAAAAAAAAAAAAGGCAAAAACCGCAACGACTTTCGCACCAACCTAGTAATTATTGGGGGTAAAATGGTGAGAGAGATGTGGTATTTTTCACCTGACTTTTGTGTTTTCCATGAAAAAATAGTTTTGATTGTAAGATATATGAGGGGAACAGACAAGGGGCTGATGAAATGGACTCAAGGGTGAGTGGGGTAGTCAGGGAAGGCCTGTCTTATGATGACATCTAAGCTAAGAGTCCAGGCTGAGAAGGCACCACCTGGGACACAAGCCCTGAGATGGGAGCAGCTGTAGGAGGCAGAACAGAAGGACCAGCAGGGCTGCAGCAGAGTTGGTGTGTGGAGTGGGGGATGAGGTTGGAGTGGCAGTCAAGGTCAGTTCATGCCTTGTTTGGACTTTATTCTAAGAACAATGAGGAGATGTTGAAGGATTTTAAGCAGAGGCGTGACAATTTCATATTTCTGTGTGAAAAATGGATTGAAGTGGGATAAGAGAAGAATTGGTTGAAACTATTCCAAATCTGAAGTTCCAACCTGCATGCATGGGGTAATATTTAATTTTTGTACACTGTAGCAGTTACAGCATTCGTTTACAGTCTTTCTTATTTTTTCAAGACAGAGTCTCACTCTGTTGCCCAAGCTGGAGTGCAGTGGCGGGGCCTGGGCTCACTCTAACCTCCGCCTCCCAAGTTCAAGGGTTCAAGCGATTCTCGTGTCTCAGTCCCTCCCCCACCAGTAGCTGGGATTACAGGCATACACCACCATGCCTGGCTGATTTCTGTGTTTTTTAGTAGAGATGGAGTTTTGCCATGTTGGCCAGGCTGGTCTCAAACTCCTGGCCTCATGTGATCCATCTGCCTCGGCCTCCCAAAGTGCTTGGATTACAGGCATGAGCCACCATGCCTGGCCCATTTACAGTCTTTCAAAATTAAGCTGCCTGAATACGGAATACTGAATACCAAAATTTTTTTGGTTGACATACTCAGATGTGACTAAAAACAGTCTGGGTGCGGTGGCTCATACCTGTAATCCCAGTGCTTTGGCAGGCCGAGGATGGAGGATCACTTGAACTCAGGAGTTTGAGACCAACCTAGGCAACATTCTGAGACCATGTTTCTAAAAAATATTTTAAAAATTGTCTAGGCGTGGTTTGCATACCTGTAGTCCTGCTAGGAAACTACTCAGGAAGCTGAGGCAGGAGGATCGCTTGAGCCCTGGAGTTTGAGGCTGCAGTGAGCTAGAATTTTGCAATTGCACTGCAGTCTGGGTGACACAGTGAGAACCTGTCTCTCAAAAAACAGTAACAAAAACTTCTTGTAGTGTTATAATGAAGTTATTGTGTGTGTTTGTACATTATTTATGAGTATGTAGTCTTGATGGTGAAATGAAGACAGAATCAGATGTCAACATTTGATGTTTGTTTCCACAGGATGTTGGCTCTTTCACCCATCCTGGCATATGTGTATTTATAAAAGAATGTTTGAAAGTGAAAACAAAATCCTGTCCAAAGAAGGTGTTATCCATTTTTTGGAGCTGTATGAAACAAAGATTCTTCCATTTTCACCAGAATTTTCTGAGGTAATGACACCCTGTCCCCTTCCTTGCTCCCATTGTTGAAAGGCGAGAGGTAAAAATACACTAGGATTCTGTATCAGCAAGTAACATTTTGGAGATTTGCATCCAACAAATCATATTTCTCTAAACCCAGCTTTCCTATTTGGAAAAAGCTTATGTTGTTTCTCAACAAGCCCAACGGTAGAACTGCCTGTATTATTACCATTGTGAAAAAGTAGTTGTATATTATCGATATTCAGAACAGCGTTAAGTCAAGAATCGTAAGCATAAGTCAAGTTTTCACTATATGAAAACTGGTATAGAAGCTATCAGGTGATGCTGTTGTCACCGTTCTGAGCCACTGATGACTGTTATTTGTTTAGTGATGCTACTGCCTCAATTCTGACTCAATGAATTGCTGTTGTCTACTATATGAAATAGGGATTGCCTTCTAAGCAATATTTATTAGAATCTGTACTTCCATTTGTCAGGAACTACGTGAGGCAGAGACAGTGGGAGTTATAGCTGTGATTTTAAGTTTTATATTATGGTGTCATGTGAGTCCCATGATGACTTCCTTAGGTAGAGTAATCTACCTCTCATTTAGAGGTGACCTAAGTCAATTTTTTTCTTCTTTTTCTTTCAATAGCTGTTTTTTTTTCGAGATGGTGTCTCATGCCTGTCACCCAGGCTGGAGTGCAGTGGCATGATCTCGGCTCAGTGCAACCTCCGCTTCCCAGGTTCAAGTGATCCCCCTGCCTCAGCCTCCTGAGTAGCTGGGATTACAGGTGGGTGCCACCACACCTGGCTAATTTTTGTATTTTTAGTGGAGATGGGGTTCCACCATCTTGGCTGGGCTGGTCTCGAACTCCTGGCCTCAAGTGATCCACCTGCCTTGGCCTCCCAAAGTGCTGGGATTACAGGTGTGAACCACTGTGCCTGGCTTCTTCTTCTTCTTTTTTAAAAGAATGATTGAATATATTTCTCAGATAGTGATATAATTTTTTTGTTTTTGAGACAGAGTCTCACTCTGTTGCCGAGGCTGGAGTGCAGTATCGTGATCTCAGCTCACTGCAACCTCTGCCTCCCAGATTTAAGGGATTCTTATGCCTCAGCCTCCCAAGTAGCTGGGACTACAGGTGCACGCCACCATGCCTGGCTCAGTTTTGTAATTTTAGTAGAGACAGGGTTTTGCCATGTTGGCCAGGCTGGTCTCAAAATCCTGGCCTCAAGGGATCTGCCCACCTCAGCCTCCCAAAGTGCTGGGATTATAGGTGGGAGCCACTGCACCAGCCTAAGTCAGTTTTTTCTAATTATTTTAATATATGCTGTGGTATATTGATATGCATCATGTTTCTACATTCTATTATTTCTGCACTTCATGTAAGCTTGCTTTTCTGACCAGTATCTAATAGTAATTTTTGAGTATAATTTTTTTCCTCTTTATCCTCTAGGCATAGGGGCTTAAATTTTCTCTTGAGTATCTTTTTGGTTTTCCTGTCATTACCTTTATTTTCTAGCATATGTTTCTTCTTTGGCTTCCTTCCTTCTTTCTTGACCCAACACATGAACTCTCTTTTTAGTATGGCATAAATTTTAATCAGGTGGGAAAATTCTGTACTTACTTTGTTTTTCTGGTAGAATTAAGCTTCCCCTCCAGGACCAGCACTAAATTTAGCCTGCAGCGTAAGAGATCAGCTTTGCTTATAGCAGGTCTTCTGTAAGCCTGTGTAGGATGTTCAATCAGGGAAACTGACTTCAAAATTGTATTTACAACTAAGTTTCAATTACGTGTCTTTTTTTTTTTTTTTTTTTAGTTTATTATTGGACCATTAATGGATGCGCTTTCAGAGAGCTCTCTGTATAGCAGGTAAAGAGACATTATGTTATGAAGTATTTGATACATACATTTCATGTTAAGAGACATGACCAGATTGTTTCATGCATTTGGCACATACAGTATGTTGCTGAATAGACAGTTGAGTTTTTCTTATCATGTGGTCCTTTTTCTATCTGTTATTCTTCTTGCATTCTGATTTGCATCAAGTGTTTCTCCTTTGTTTTTTCTTGTTTCCTTTTTCTGCCTTGAGCTGCTCTATTCTTGGGCTGTTGGAAACTATGTCTTCTACAGCACACTTTCTTCTCCCTACTGCTGCTTCCTGCTCTCTTGGAAGTTGTAATGATTTTGACTAACCAACACTTTAAACTTATTTTCCTTTTTCTTTTAACTTAGTTTTACACTTACAGAAAAGTCTTGAGAATAATCCAAAGAATTCTCATTTCCCTTTCACCCATATTCCCTGAATGTTAAGGTTTTACTGCATTTGCTTGATCGTTGCCTCTCCCTGTGTGCGCATCTTTCTTAGCTTTGTCTACTGACCAGACTTACTCATTTATATCTGTTTGAGTGCCTGTCTGTCCGCCATCCATCCATCCATCCATCCATCCATCCATCCGTTCATCCATCCATCCATATTAAGAACCGTGAATTCACACCAGGACGTCCAGTTTTAGTTCAGTACTGCAAGGTTCATTCTAACCTTTTCCTTTCCGTATCTGACAGTGGCTGCTGTTATTCATCCTGTCTCTACTTATAGGCCACAGTTAAAGTTTTGAAAAGGTTGACAGTGAGAAGTTTGTCAGGATTGTACCTTAGCCTCATTTTTTTGAGCATCATTTATGACTCTTGAATTCTGTCTTCAAAAATTTCCCTTGCTCTTGAAATTGTGTTATCTTTCTAATATTAACTAAATTTATAGTTGTGTCTTGCTGTTCAGTATGCCCTCTAAACAGAACTACCTCCCCCCACCAGCCAATTTCTTGAAACATTTTTAATTAGTCTCTGCCACGTTATATTAATATTTAGTCCTGTTTAATAATATTGAAAGAGCATAGCAACACTTGATTTGCCAATTATTTTTAGTTTTCAAATAACTCATTACTACTGAATAGTTTTCTGAAGCAATTAGACAGCTGGAGAGCAGTAAAACCAATGAAAAGATCTTGGTGTTTTCTAAGAGTTGACAAACACATTTATTATGAAATGCCTTCAGTTTTCTAGCACTCTAATGTGTTCAATTAGCAGATAATGTTCCTGGAAGAAGCATATAGCAGAAAAAATGTGACTTTAGTAGATGTTAACAATTAAATACTCTTGCAAAAGTAATTTATTACTAATATATGTCTTTGCTATGAATGTTACTTCTTTTGTTTTAGACCTAAAAATTTAAAGTCATTGGATTACATGTTGGGAACAATAAAATATAATTTAAAATTATCATTTCAGCCTCTTATTTTTTATGATACTGTTTAGCAAGATTCATATATGTGGAAGGGAAAGTCACAAAAAGGAAATCCTTAGTAAAGTAGGTTATTAACTCATGTCCATTTTCCTACAAGTTCCTGATGTTTCTGTAATCAGAAAAATTCTCAGAATTTTACTGAAAAATGAAATGCAGGTTCAGAAAAATAAAACTGTCTGATTGTTTTATTGTTGAAAGACTTTTGGGCCATGGTCCATTTAGGCTAGTTTTAGTGTAATCACTTGTAAATAAATGTTAAATATTTGTTTTCCCCACTCTCTGTTTGTAGGTCCCCAGGCCAGCCAATAGGAAGCTGTTCTCCATTGGGACTGAAATTACAGAAGTTTTTAGTCACTTATATTTCTCTTCTTCCAGAAGAAATAAAGAGTATGTGTCAGTAAAGGGTTTTTTTAAAAATGCTTTAGCTTACAGTTTCTTTTTTTTTTAGCAAATTGGTTATAAGCACCATCAACTATTATAATAAATATTTTCAAAATGGTTTCCTTTTCCAGGATATGCATATTTTCTCAGAATTATACAGTATCTTTTTTGAGTACACACTTTAGTCATTGTGTATGACATACTACCAGTATTGGCATGAGTAGCATGGAGGTAATTTTAGAAGGTGTGCTGCAGTTTAGCCATCGTTTCTAATTGTCTACTATTCAGTTTCAAGAATTGGTAAAATATATTTGAGAAATACGGAACTTGGTTTTAGGAAAAAGTTGTAAACAGAATACTCATTGTGGCAAGTTGTCCCTTTATAGATATTAACTTAGAAAGATAAGAAAGAAAAAATAAGCCAGGTGCAATGGCTCCCGCCTGGAATCCCAGCACTTTGGGAGGCCGAGGCAGACAGATCACCTGAGGTCAGGAGTTCGAGACCAACCTGGCCAACACAGCGAAACTCTGTCTCCACTAAAAATACAAAAATTATCCGGGCATGATGGTGTGTACCTGTAGTCCCAGCTACTTGGGAGGCTGAGGCAGGAGAATCACTTGAACCCAAGAGGCAGTGGTTGCAGTGAGCCAAGATTGTGCCACTATACTCTAGCCTGGGTGACAGAGCAAGACTGTCTCAAAAAAACAAAAAAAACAAAAAAACACTTGTTTTATGTAAGACCTTGTCCTAGAACCATCCCCCATCTTCAGGTTGGAGATGTAGTGTTCATTCTAATGAGGTAGGTTGGAAAGCACAGCACAAAAGCACTGTGATTTTTGTTTGCTGAGCAGCAGCAGGACCTACTCTGCTTTGTGAGTCCTTGTGTTACTCCCACCTTTGTGATTTGTAAAGTGAGCCTAGGTATGAAATACGTATTTTTTTCTTTTGTATTTAATCTGGCAAATAGGATGACAAGATGGCCAATGGTAATGTCTATTCAAACGTCAGAAAAAAGGGAAAATATGGTCTGTATATCATGACTTTAAATTTATAGAAAATTGATTGTTTTGATTACTTTTTCTTTAAAAAAATGTGTTAATGGGGAAGATGGGGAAGATAACTGTTAGAGTCATTCTTTTTTTTTTTTTTTTTTTGAGATGAAGTCTTGCTCTGTCATTAGGCTGGAGTGCAGTGGTGCGATCTCAGCTCACTGCAACCTCCGCCTCCCGGGTTCAAGTGATTCTCCTGCCTCAGCCTCCCGAGTAGCTGGGACTACAGGCATGCGCCACCACGCCCAGCTAATTTTTGTATTCTTAGTAGAGACAGGGTTTCACCGTGTTGGCCAGTATGGTCTCGATGTTTTGACCTCGTGATCTGCCCACCTCGGCCTCCCAAAATGCTGGGATTACAGGCGTGAGCCACCACACACAGCCTAGAGTCATTCTTTAGTTTGGTAGATTTCAGGAGTTTAATTAAGCATCTGGGCTGCAGCCATATGGGGATGAATTTGTCAGCCGCATTGCTGCCTTACATGTCAGTAGCACACGTGAGTGAAGTGATGTCGGTCAGGGCTTCCTAGAATTTGAGAGCCAGGTGTTTGTGATCCAGGACCAGGCATATCACAGATGCTTGGTAAATATGTTGAATCGATGTGAAATAGAAACTTGGCCATTGCCATCTTCCTAGTGTCATGAGTGAAGCGTTAGGCAAAAGATGGGATTTACTGAATTTAGTTAGTGCAAATGGAAGAAAGAAAAATTGAGGCCAGGAGTTCAAAAAGAGCAATTAAAACATTCATTCACAGTTATTTAGTCATTTTTCAGTCACCAGTTTCCAGTGAATATCTTCTGGGTGTTCTGAATGTCTTTTGTGCTAGGTATTTCAAAAGACACAAAGTCCGCGTAATATCCTTTTAGTAGCTTCTGAGGATTTCTTGAAAGTCATTCTACAACTATGTGAGAAAACAGACATTTTCACTAACTACATGAGATGAGGGTCCTTAAGAAATCACAGATTAGCAGAGAGGACAGAATGAAGCACTATCCCTTTGTATCTCAAAATAGAAATATAAATAATCGTAATTAAATCCAAGGTAGTCAAGAAACAGCCTATGAGAAAGATGTTACTGTTTGCATATACTAGAGGCCACTAACCATCAATACTTCCTATCCTGTTTTTCCTTCACATCTCAAATAGAAGAATGGCTTCTAATCATAAACAATTTTATCTTTTACTGGCCGGGTGTGGTGGCTGACGCCTGTAGTCTCAGCACTTTGGGAGGCTGAGGTGGGCAGATCACCTGAGGTTGGGAGTTTGAGACCAGCCAGCCAACATGGCCAAACCCCGTCTCTACTAAAAATACAAAAATTAGCCGGGTGTGGTGGCACATGCCTGTAATCCCAGCTACTCAGGAGGCTGAGGCAGGAGAATCACTTGAACCCAGGAGGTGGAGGTTGTAGTAGTAAGCCAAGATCAAGCCACTGCACTTCAGCCTGGGCAACAGAGTGAGACTCTGTCTCAAAACAAACAAACAAACAAAAAATTACCTTTTAAAAAAATACAGCTTCATGGGTATCAGAATCCCTATAGTACAGTAGAATACTTATCTTACTAAACTAGGAATTAAATTAACTTTTTTTTACAACAGCTTTATTGAGATAGAATTCACCCTTTTAAACCATTTGGTTTAGTGGTGTTTAGTGTATTCACAAAGTTGTACAGCTGTTACCACTGTCTAATTCCTGAATATTTTGATCACCCTCAAAAAGAAACCTCAGGTGTGTTAATAGTCGCTTCTCATTCTCTTCTACCCATAGCTCCTGGCAGCCACTGATCCTCTTTGTCTCTATAGATTTGCATATTCTCAACATTTCATGTCAGTGGAATCATACAATACGTGGCTTTTTGTGTCTGGCTTCTTTCACTAGCATAGTATTTTCAAGGTTTATCCTTGTTATGGCACGTATCAGCATTTCATTCCTTTTTGTGGCTGAATAGTATTTCACTGTATAGATATTTCACATTTTGTTCATTCATTCATTGGTAGGCATTTGGATTGTTTTCACTTTTGACTATTTGAGTAATGCTGTTATGAATGTTCATGTACAAGTTTCTGTATGAACACATCTTTGATTCTCTTGGATATATACCTGGAAGTAGAATTACCGGATCATGTGGTCCGTCTAAGTTTTGGAGGAACTGCCATATTTTTTTCCACAGCGGCTGCACCGTTTTACATTCCCACCAGCATTGTGTGAGGGTTCTGGGTTCTCCACATCCTCCCCAACTCTGAGTATTGTCTGTCCTTTAGATTATAGCCATCATAGTGTGTGGGAAGTGGAGCCTTACTATGGTTTTGACTTGTATTTCCCTAATACCTAATGGTATTGAGCTTCTTTTCATGTGCTAATTGGCAACAATGATAATTTAAAACTTTTTCTTTCAGGTAGCTTCCTATTGAAGTTTATTCGGAAGATGACAAGTAGGCATTGGTGTGCTGTTCCCATTTTGTTTCTATCTAAGGCTTTGGCAAATGTCCCAAGACATAAGGCCCTGGGTATAGATGGGCTTCTTGCTCTCAGGTAATTTACTCTGTATATGTACTTGTATGGTTATTTGCCATGACTTTCCATCAATATATATATTTTCTCCTCTGCTTTAATCTACAGTAAATGGATATAGTTAATATTGGGATTGGGATGTTTGGGCTCTTAATTTTACATAAGAAAAAAATTAAAAAATGTATTATTCGTATAGTTGAACTTATTTTGTTTTACAAATTACTAGTTTAAATGTGTACTGAAGTATGTGCTGTTGAATTTTGACCTCTTTAAATAAGGCCAGTAAGTTTTTTTTAAAATTACATTCGTAAGTAGAAAGCTAAAGATAAAATATCAAACAATAATATTTAACAGAAAGTATTTAAAAAATATTTGGTAAAAAGGAATTTTGAGGAGATGAAAAAAAGAAAAAGTATTTCAGTAAATATAAACTTCTTTAAAAGCATCTTCATTTATAGTTTTTTTTTTTTGAGCTGGAGTCTCGCTCTGTCACCCAGGCTGGAGTGCAGTGGTGCGATCTCGGCTCACTGCAACCTCTGCCTTCTGGATTCAAGCGATTCTCGTGTCTTAGCCTCCTAAGTAGCTGGGATTAAAGGTGTGCGCCATTACTCTCGACTGATTTTTGTATTTTTAGTAGAGACGGGATTGCACCATGTTGGCCAGGCTGGTCTCAAACTCCTGACCTCAGGTGACCTACCCGCCTCAATCTCTCAAAGTTGTGGGATTAGAGGTGTGAGCCACTGCGCCCGGCCTATAGTCTTATTTTTAAAAGAGACTTGTTTCATAGTAAAATTGAGCTCTTAATAGAGGCCATAATGGGAAATAACAGCTTTGAAATTCTGCAGACTTTCTGCATTAGGAAGTGTAGTTGTTATAAATCAACTTGTTGATAATCACAAATTATCAGAATTGTCTTTGGGAATACGGAACTGCATTTTTTGTGTTTCGATGTCAGGGATGTTATTCATTGCACTATGATCACACATCAGATTCTCCTGAGAGGGGCAGCCCAATGCTACCTTCTTCAAACAGCTATGAATTTGCTAGATGTGGTAAGTTTTTCTTTTGTTACTTCCATTTACAAGTCTTTCTTAGTGAGTGGGTGTACAGAAATGAGTTAACATAGCAGACCTGTGATACTGCCATTAGAAAGGCCTGCTTGTAATAAAATAATAAATGTGCTTGTAATAAAATAATACATATGATCTCTCTAAATAGTCCTTGGCTGGCACTGGGACCTTGGATTTTGGGAGGATTTACACTATCCTAACTGCTAAGAGTGGCTTATTGTATCTAAAGTGTTTGTTCAATGTGGTTTATGCTGAAAACCTGCTTTCTTTCTGAGAGTCTGGAATTTCAGTATGTATGAGGCAAAAGGTGCCTGCATGACCACGTCCCAGGAAAAGCCCGAGGCACTGAGTCTCCATTGAGCTTCCCTGGTAGACAGACTTTCACTGTGTTGTCACAGCTTGTTGCTGGGGGAGCTAAGTGTGTCCTGGGTGGCCCACTGGGAGAGGACTCTTGGAGCGTATGCCTTGTTCCCTCTCTACATTTCCCCTCATCTTCCCCTGTATCGACATTCAAGGAATATATATGGTGTGTATCCTGTGCTTTTTACAAAGCCTCAGTAAATATTGCTTACTACAGGGGTCAGCAAACTCTTTCTGTGCAGTGCCAGGTAGCAAACTTTTTTAAAGCTTTGCCGCTGGCTTTATGATCTGTGTTGCAACTTCTGAACTAAATAAACAGGCGTTGGCTATATTCCAAAAAAACTATTTACAAAACAGGCTGTGAATAGTTTTTGCCAATGCCTGGCCTAGATAGAGCCAAGGTATCTTATTTCAAGATGTACAACCTTAAGGGAATGAAAGACCTAGGTGGTTTTCTGAGTCAGGGGCTCATTTTTATGGCATTGAAAATAATCACTTTTTTTTTTTGAGACAGAGTTTTGCTCTTGTCTCCCAGACTAGAGTGCAATGGCACGATCTTGGCTCACTGCAACCTCCACCTCCCAGGTTCAAGTGATTCTCCTGCCTCAGCCTCCCAAGTAGCTGGGATTACAGGCATCTGCCACCACAACTGGCTAATTTTTGTATTTTTAGTAGAGATGGGGTTTTGCCATATTAGCCAGGCTGGTCTCGAACTCCTGACCTCAGGTGATCCACCCACCTCGGGCTCCCAATGTGCTGGGATTACAGGCGTGAGCCACCGCGCCTGTCCTCACATTTTGATTGAAAGTAATTTCTTCTTATAGAATGGTGTTTTTTTTTTTTTTAAGATTGTGACTGTCTTTAAGATAGTAACCTCAATTTTAAGTTAACATGGTATCTTTATGTTAAAAGTTGAATAATATTTTCTTTTTATTTGCTTTCTTTTGATTTAGCTAATGATATTTGCTTTCTTTTGATTTAGCTAATGATAACCTACTTTAAGTAGTAGAATTGATTGCCTTCACAGTGGTTTTAGTTTATTCAATTAAACATTTTAATACGAGTAATTTTTAAAACCTTTCCTGCCCTGCCCAGGAGAAAGTGTCACTTTCTGATGTCTCAACTTTTCTCATGTCTCTGAGACAAGAGGAATCCTTAGGACGAGGAACTTCATTGTGGACAGAGGTGAGATTAAAGATAATTTAATAAAGTCTTTGAAAACTATAAAAAATGGTTTTCTTAATGAATTTCTTAGTAGCCATTTATATAAAATATAATGATTGCTTTGTTATCTGTCAGCAGAGACTTTGAAATATTGTATATTTGCTTTGAGTGGACTTAACTAATTCTGCTAAGATGCTTATGGAGAGGTGGGAGAGAGGAAAATGTTTGCAGTACAGATAGACCTATTTAGAAGAAAAGATATTGCTAGTGGGCAGATCTCAACTCTGGATGAGATGCATTAGGAATAATGGCGATGTTAGACTCAAACACAGTAAGTGACACAAACTCCTCTTTCTCTTTTTTCTGTCATTGAATGGCCCCTTCCTCCACCCAGTTGTCCAGTCCTTATGTTTTGGTAATTCTGAGTTTGTCCTGACTTTCTGCATCCAATTCATCATGAAACCCTCCTGTCTCATAAACATCTTTCCTCTTCTCCATGCCGCTCTGTGGCTCTAGCTCAGACCCTCCTCATGTGAAGCTTCTTCCCTTGTGATGATGTCTTGTTGATGTCACGTCCCTGGCCTCCAGACCTCTTACTGTGCCACCCTTTTCCTCAGGACTCTTCAGGGCCAGCCTCCTCCCTCTTTTTGTAAACCACGGGGTTTAGTTTATACAACTGACTTCAGTGCTTATTTGTTATTTATGTGGCTGAGTTCTGATCTTTGTCCCCTCTGGGTTATATAGTTTTTGAGAAATGAAGAAGGGGCAAATTGTGGCCTTTAAAAAATAGAATTTTGTTTTATTTTCTTGATCACAATGCATCTAATTTTGTGGAATTTGAAAAATATAGAACCATATAAAGAAAATAAAAATAATCTGTAATGCCTACCGTCAAACTAAATTCATATTTTTTGGTTTAGTTTTTAGTTCTTTTTCCCTATGAATATACGTATTCTCTTACTTGCCTTCTCATTATAGATAAGTATATGTGTATTTAAAATAATACATATGATCTCTCTAAATATAGATTAAACTGTTTTAAATTTTATTTTTTTGTATTCACATATATATGAGCATTTTAGCATGTTGCTAAGTAATTTTTCAAGATGTAGTAAAAATGCAGTTGATTGTATCATTTAAAATTTATTGTATTAGTTCCTTTTCTTGGACTTTGTTTCAAAGTTTTTGCTTTTATAAATAACACTGGGCTGGGCACAGTGGCACTTTGGGAGGCTGAGGCGGGCAGATCACTTGAGGCCAGGAGTTCGAGACCAGCCTGGCCAGCATGGCGAAACCCCGTCTCTACTAAAAGTACAAAAATTATCGGGGCATGGTGGTGTGTGCCTGTAGTCTCAGCTACTTGGGAGGCTGAGACAGGAGAATTGCTTGAATCCGGGAGGCGGAGGTTGCAGTGAGCTGAGATCGTGCCACTGCACTCCAGCGTGCACGACAGAGTGAGACCCTGTCTCAAAAAGTAAATAACATTGGGAGGAACTTATTTCTATATGTTTTTATTTATACCTGTTTTTTAGGATAAATTCATAAAATTGAATTTGCTGTATTTCAATAATTTTAAGGTTCCTGATACAGATTGAGAGAGGTTTCAAAGTATGACAGTGGACATCCACTTTATCTACAGTGATACAATACCAAATGTATCAGCATGTTAAATTCTTTGCCACTTTGGTAGATAAAACATAGCATTTGGTGACTTTATTTGCATTACTCTGATCACTGTTTTTTAAAACATTTTTTCATGTCTTTGTAGTATTTCTTTTGTGAATTGTCTATTATTGTCCTTTCCCCATTTTGTTTTGGGATTTTAGTGGTTTTTTTTTCTTTTTTACTTGATTTGTAAGTGCTCTTTTTATATTGAGGGTATTGACAAGTTGTTATACCTACTGCAAATAATTTTTTTTTAGTTCCTTTTTAAAAAATTTAGCTTTGCTTGCTGAATGGGTAATGAATTTACGTGATTTGAAGATTAAAACTATTGGTCAGAAGTGTCTTATTTCTGTTTTGCTCTTCTATCTTGCCTTGATCCTTATCGTACTCCACCCCATCCCCAAACAAAGGTGTTTTTGATATAGACTCTGCTTACTACCTTGCAAGTTTTCATTAAAATGTATATTCATAGTGATTTCTTTATCTCAGTAGGCAAAGACCCTTCTTAGTCTTTTTTTGTAAAGTAAAGCTTGCATAGTATTTTGTAAAGTAAAGCTTGCATAGTATTCCATCTGGTGGTTGTACCATTGTTTATTCAATTTCCCCCATTGCCGAACTGTTGAGTTGTCCAGTCTTGTGGCTTTTACAGACAATGCCACAATAAATGAATAGTCTGCAGGTACATCTGCAGAATGGAGTCCTAGAATTGGGATTGCTGGTCAGAGGTTGGGTGCCTGTGTAATCTTTCTGGGGATTGCCCAGTTTCCCTCCATAGTTTCCTATGGTTGCTGTAATAAATTACCACCAGATTGGTGGCTTAAAATAACATACATTTATTCCCTTACAGTTCTGGAGGCCAGAAGTCTGGAATCCGTTTCACTCGTCTGCAATTAAGATTCTGGCTGGCTTGTGCTTCCTTGTAGGGGCGAGTCCACTTCCTCATCTTCTGGAGCTGTATTGCTTGCATTTCTCGGCTCATGGTCCTTTCTCCATCTTCAAAACCAGCAGCCTGGCATTTCGAGATCTCTGCTTCGTCTTCATATCACATTCTTCTCTTCTGTTTCTGTGGCCAAATCTGCCTCTGCCTTCCTTTTATGAGGACACTTAGGATTACATTGGGCCCCCTCAAATAATCCAGCATAATGTCCCCATCTGAGAATACTTAAATCTGCAAAGCTCCTTTTGCTGCATAAGGTAACATTCACAGGTTCCGGGATTAGGACCTCGGTATCTTTGGGCCTACCATAGGGTTGCAGGAGTTTCACAGGGTATGATAGTGCCTGTTGTGAAGCAGGATTTTTTACCAGTCTGAAGGATGGGAAAGGGCATTTCAGTATAATTTTAATTAATCATTCTCTTATAATTTGTAAGTTCAGGCATCTTTTCAGTTTCATTTTGATTTTTGATTTTGTTTAGTTTTTTCCTGGTAGCTTTTTACTTATGAAAATTTTAAAAATTCTTAGAAGAGTATAATGAACTCTCATGTACCCATCACCCATCATCTACCATTGCTGCTCATGGCCGGTCTTCTTTGACCTGGACCTCCTACTCTCCCTTCCTGTCCCAATTATTTTGAATCAAATCCTATCAAATCTTATTTTTCATCTAAAAATTTTTGAATATGTACTGCTAAAAGATAAGGAGTTTAAAGGGCTTAAAAAATAAGCCTTTATCACACCTAAAAAAACTAAGAAATGTTTTTAAAATTTATTTTCTTTCTGTTTGGTCAGATGTCCAATTTTGTTTGTTCAGGTATTCAAATAAGGCCTATTCACTGCAGCTAGTAGGCATAGCTTTAAAATTGTGGACTCTATTCCAGCTGGAATTTATTTTGTTGTATGAGTTGTGAGGTTTAAAAGAGAAAATTCATGTAAAAAAGCTTTAGGCTACGGTTAGCCCATATTTAATGTAAATATCTAATATTACTAATGTCTTTTCGCCCTGGTTTAAGGAGTGAGACATTTGCCTGTTGTATTATTTGTTTTTAAGGAGCCAGCTCTTAGATTTCTTCATCTGTTCCCCTTAATTTTTCGGTTCTGTAATGCATCAGTGTCTGTTTTCATCTCTGACTCTCCTTTCGTTTGTTTTGCCTGTCTCCTAATGTCCTGGAGTCATTTGTTGAGAACTATGTATTGCACATCTCCCACAGGCCAGGCACTGTGCTGAGTGTTGGTAATACAGTGGTCAGTGAGAGAAACATGTTGACTACCCTCAGGAGGCTTATAAAGTTGGTGGTTTATAGCTGAATCCAGATTTCAATTCTTTTTTTGTTTGAAAGCACTTACATGTATGTATATATATATTTTAGTGTAAATTTGACTGTATCCTATAACTTTTGTTATGTAGTGTTCTCATTATTATCTAATTATCTAGTTATGTTAAGTCATGTAAAATCATTGATATTCAGTAATTTTAAACCTATAGAAATGGCATTTTCATGTAGCTCACCCTAAATAGTTTTTTAATTAATAGATTTTATTTTTTGAAACAGTATTTGGTTTCCAGAAAAATTAAACAAAGTGCAGAGAGTTCCAGCCAGGCATGGTGGCTCATGCCTGTAATCCCAGTACTTTGGGAGGCAGAGGCGGGCAGATCACTTGAGCTCAGGAGTTCAAGACCAGCCTCGGTAACATAGCGAGACCCTGTCTCAGTATATTTTAAAAATAAAGTAATAATGTAAAAAAAAAAAAAAACACACAAAAAAAGTACAGAGAGTTTCCACATACTCCCACACCACTCTTCCTGTCCCTACACACAGTTTCCCCTGTTGTTAACATTTTGTATTAGTGTGGTTCATTTGTTACAATTGATGACCCCCATATTGATTACTATTATGAACTAAAGGTCATAGTTGACATTAGGGTTCACTCTTCACATTGTACATTCCATGGGCTTTGACAGACGTGTCGTACAGAATAGTCTCACTGCCCCCAAAAATTCTCTGTGCTCTGCCTGTTCATCCCTCCTTTCCCCCAGACCTTGGCAGCTGATCTTTTTACTCTCTATAGTTTTGTCTTTTCCATAATGCCACATAGTTGGAATCATACAGGACCCAGCCTTTTCAGATTGGCTCTTCCACTTAGTAATATGCACTTAAGGTTCCTTCCTGTGTTTTCATGGCTTGATAGCTCATTTTTTTTTTTTTAGTGCTTACTAAGACTTCATTGTCTGGATGTACCACAGTTTATTTATCCATTCACCTACTGAAGGACATCTTGGTTGCTTCCAGGTTTTGGCAGTTGTAAGACTACTGTAAACATCTTTATGCAGGTTTTTGTGTGGACATAACTTTTCAACTCATTTGGGTAAATACCAAGGAGCACAGTTGCCAGATTGAGTGGTAAGATTATGTTTAGTTTTAGAGAAATTGCCAAGCTGTCTTTCGAACCATACTATTTTGCATTCCTACCAGCAAAGAATGAGAGTTCTTACTGCCCCACATTCTCTTCAGCATTTGGTTTGTCAGCGTTCTGGATTTTAGCCACTCCAGTAGCTATATAGTGGTGTCTTATTGTTGTAATTCCAAATTCCCTGAAAATAGATGATACTGAGCATTTTGTATATGCTATTTACCATCTGTATGTCTTCTTTGGTGAGGTATCCAGTTCTTTTGCACATTTTTGAATTAGGTTATGTGTTTTCTTACGGTGAGGTTTTAAAAGTCCTTTGAATACTTTGGATACCAGTCCTTTATCAGATATGTGTTTTGCAAATATTTTCTCCCAGTCTGTGGCTTGTCCTCTCATTCTCTTTATGTGTCCAAATAGATTTTTGAGACTTGTATTGTAATGGGGAATCAAGGGAACCTGCCTACCCAGAGACTGCCATTTAGATGTCATTTTAAACCATAAGTCTGACATGAAAAGTCTTTGAAGGGAAAATATTCTGAATTTTGTGACAGATTTGATAGAGGGAAAGAAAAAAATCAAATATGAATTAGAGTTTAGTTGTCAAAAATAATTTTGATACAGCAGAATCATGCCTGTGGAAATACAAGATTCGAAAAGCCTCACGTATTTTGTAGCAATAATTAGGCAACGCAGTCTGGCCAGTTTTAGAGGAATGCAAAGAAAAGTGTATACTGTTAAAAGATAAATACCGGCTGACCTCACTGTTAGACAATAATATCTTAAGATTATCCGACTTGATAAAGACCTACACAGAACAACCTCCTTTAGCGTCATTGACTTGCTCACTCATTGTACCTGTGTGGTGTCTTTTAGTCCTGACCACTTCGATGATCCAGTCATTCATCATTTTTTTTTTTTTTTTTTGAGACGGAGTCTCGCTCTGTCGCCCAGGCTGGAGTGCAGTGGCGGGATCTCGGCTCACTGCAAGCTCCGCCTCCCGGGTTCACGCCATTCTCCTGCCTCAGCCTCCCAAGTAGCTGGGACTACAGGCGCCCGCCACTACGCCCGGCTAATTTTTTTGTATTTTTAGTAGAGACGGGGTTTCACCGTTTTTAGCCGGGATGGTCTCGATCTCCTG
Organism: Homo sapiens; assembly: GCF_000001405.40. Lineage (NCBI taxonomy): Eukaryota > Metazoa > Chordata > Mammalia > Primates > Hominidae > Homo > Homo sapiens. The sequence goes on along the minus strand of NC_000001.11, from coordinate 234,451,534 downwards.
ACCTCGTGATCCGCCCGCCTCGGCCTCCCAAAGTGCTGGGATTACAGGCGTGAGCCACCGCGCCCGGCCCATTCATCAGTTTTATCTTTGGTCAGGTGATGTATTCTTCCTTTGCCTCCTTATAGTAAACTTTGGGTAACCCTAATGGACACAAAAAATAATTTTTCAAAAATGCTTACTTTTTAGAAAGACTCATTTCATAATTATTTTCTTCATATTTAAACTCAGTTATTGAATTTGCTTATTAAGACAGATATTATAAAAAGGAAATTGAGAACATATTTAGATTTTAAAACAAAAGTTTCACCATTATACGTGACCAAAGATGAGTTGTGAAATTATGTGACTTTTATTTGCAAACCTTCTAAGAGATGTAATGGAGAAGGCCTCGGACAGTGTTTCTCTTTTAAATTAATATGCAGTATTTTAATATGCACGTATGATAGAAAATAAACTTGTGAGGAGGGTAGGAACTTTGATTATAACTTAAATTTCAAATTCTACATTCTCTCAAAGATAAAACTTCTTGTTTTAGCATGTGAAGCTGGAAGAAGTTTTAGTTGAAGGTTGTAAGTTGTTTTATGTAATGCGTTATTTTTTATAGAGATCTTTACCTCATTAAAGTGTACATTTTATATAAGGTACATTAGAAATTCTTGCCTGTTAATGAAGTTTATACATTCTTTGAAGGAGATTAGAAAACACACACACACACATATGTGTATATATATATATATCTCACATATATATATCACACATACATATACGCATACATAAATATATATACACATAGTTTTTTTGTTTTTACTGTCTGTGGAACTCAAGTATGATAGTAAATGGTTTATTACTTTGTATTCGATTATTTAAATTTGGTTTATCGTGAAAGAAAGAAACGTGGCTTAAGGAGATTAGAAATCCTTTGTTTGGTTAGGTTTTTAAAATAAAGTAATAACTGTTTTCTTTTCCAGCTGTGTGACTGGCTACGTGTTAATGAAAGCTATTTTAAGCCATCCCCTACGTGTAGCTCCATTGGACTTCACAAGACATCTTTAAATGCTTATGTAAAGAGCATTGTTCAAGAGTATGTTAAGTCATCTGCTTGGGAAAGTAAGTCTGCAATCATTTTTATGGATTGATATAACCAAAATATTTTCAAAGAACTTTTAACTAGTTTTTCAGACTGAGAGTTAGGCTTTACGAAATATATGATGATTTATTGATGCCAAACTTGTATTTCAGTAAAATAATGTGAAAAAAAAGTAAAGATACTGTCTCCTAACTTGTATTAATACTTTATCTGTTCTGAGACTTGAGATTCTAAATTATTTTATGTTTAAGGAAACTAATAAGTTGCCAGAGTTAAGAAGTGGATGCAAAGTCATTTATTTATTCTGCAATTACTGGGTCCTTGTGAACTAGATACTGCAGATATGGTTTTGGAGCCTCTGTAGTGGAAATATATGCATTGGAAATACGTGTTTATCTTTTTCATTTTTAAAGCACGTTTAGTATGAACTGATTATGAAAAACAATTTTAAACAAAGGCTGTGTTTAAAAGGATAGTTTTGTTAGTTTCTTTTTCAGCAGATACTTTGCAACATCAATTTTACAAAGATCCTTTCTTTGAGGAAATATATAAGACAACATTAGAGAAGCACTCTTAACAGATTCATTAATTAGGATTCTTTTTACATTCCTAATGCTTCCTTTTCATTAAAGTCATTGGTGATAATTTAGGAAAATTGCATCTTCGAATTTAACATGTCTTAAATTTCCTAGCTTTGTCTCACACAAAGTCATTTTCATCTCCTGATTTCTTTAATCTGACCATGGAATAGGTCTTAAATGATCAGATAATTATCCTTCCAAAATGCATGAGTTTATTCTTCTTGGAACATTTCTCTTTTGTATTTTTAGTCTTTTTTGGTCTGTCTGTGTCTAGTAAATGTCTTATGCTGTTACATTGGAAGATTATTTGAAGTAAATATGTTAGTCTCTATTAAAGTAGACATAAACTGGGAGGTCAGATAGAGGTCTGAGAGACCATGGCCTTTGTGGCTTCATTCATTTAATCTCATTTCTGGTCACATTTTAGGGAACACTCATCTCAGCTGAAATACTAGAATTGCCTCTTACGGAGTTACCTTGCATCTACTCTTGCTTCATCTACAATATCTTTTCCACATGGTACCTAGATAAATCTTTTCAAAATATAAATTTTGATTTTAGACATTTTTCCTCCACTTCTTTGTATATATTCCCTTTAACCTTCAGTGGCTTCCTATTGCCTTTAGGGCAGAGACAAAGGTCCTCTGCATGGCCTGCAAGGTTTCCTGGTCTCTCCCCTGCCTGTTTATGCCACTTCAGTTTTTGCTGCTCCCTGTCACTTAGTGCACACATGAGCATCCTCCTATTTTCTGGAATATGGTATGCCTTCTTCTGCTAGAAGACCTTTGATGTGCTCTTCCTTCTGTCTAGAAAGTTCTCGTGTCCCTTCATCTTTCCTCTTGAGTCGTCACACTCAGCCCAATTGTCATTTCTTCAGGGAAACTTCCTCTTACTCTCTGGATGAGGGCATGTCTTCCTAGTGTAGACTCCACTAGCACCATGTACTTCTCATTCGTAGCCCTCACTATAATTGCATTTTTCTATGTATTCTTTGATAATGCTTTTCTCCTGTACTCTAAATTCCATGAGCACAGGAAACACTGGGTCTGCAGCACCCAGGTAATTGCATGGCATGTAGCAGGCACACAAATTTCTTTTTTGTTCCTGTTGAAATAGATATGTATAATAATGAGCCATGCTCTAGGGTGTTCTGCTGTAGTTCATCTCGGTTGTATTTCTCTCATAATTTAATATTAATAAGGCATAATCATTTAGTGGGTTTTTTTGAAGCATCATCCTTGAAGGATTTTGTTAATGCTTTGCAAACCTTAACTGTTGTTATTTAAGCAGGAGAAAACTGCTTTATGCCTGATTGGTTTGAAGCCAAGCTTGTTTCTCTGATGGTCTTGCTGGCTGTGGATGTGGAAGGAATGAAGACTCAGTATAGGTAATTGTTTCTGTAATTGAAAAGAAAGCCTATTTGAAAAATCCTGATGAGAATTATGATGTGTATTCAGATTTTTGAATGATTGAACTTAGTTGACCACAAGGTGTCAAGGAAGGTACTAGAACATTAACAGTATACTGAAGAAATGTTTAAAGTTAATAACAAATAGGAATAGGGGCATATTAGTGCTTTTAAATTGGTAAATTAAATGTTAAACTTAACAATTTAATGTTAATTAGATGGCCAGGCACAGTAGCTCATGCCTGTAATCCCAGCACTTTGGGAGGCCAAGGCAGGCAGATCACCTGAGGTCAGGAGTTTGAGGCCAGACTGGCCAACATGGTGAAACCCTGTCTCTACTAAAAATACAAAAATCAGCCGGGCGTGGTGGTGCACGTCTGTAGTCTCAACTACTAGAGAGGCTAAGGCGGGAAGATCACTTGAACTGGGTGGCGGAGGTTGCAGTGAGCCACGATTGCACCATTGCACTCCAGCCTGGACCACAAAGTGAGACTTCATCTGAAAAACATTTAATGTTAAATTAGAGAAGATTAAAAAACCATATACAATAGTCACTGGTTTTATATCAGAATATTAGAAATAGATTGCAAGATTCCAGTATAAGTTTAGGTAAAGAGATTTACTGGATTTGACTCCTTTGTAAAATACATAATTAAAAAAACGGTAATAAAGATAAAACACTCATTTATATTTTGTGAGAATGGAAGCAGGTCAGTTTTCACTTGATTATTGTTTTGCAATAAGCAGCATCATTAGGTAGATCAGGTAGGATATTTGCGTGACATACAGTTAATTTGATTTACATCAAATCTCTTTTCTAGACAAAGATTTTGTACCGAAGTTGGTTATCCAGTCTGGGAAAATAAGCGAGACCCTGTCTCTACAAAAATTAAAAAATTACCTGCACATGGTGGCTCACACCTGTGGTCCCAGCTACTTAGGAGGCTGATGTGGGAAGATCGCTTGAGCCTGGGAGGTTGAGCCCACAGTGAGCTATGATCACACCACAGCACTCCAGCCTGGGCGACAGAGTGAGACCCCATCTCAAAAAAAAAAAAAAAAAAGTTGGTTAACAGTTTTTAATAAATCCTTAGGTTTTTTTTTTTTTTTTTTGGATTTTTAAAAACATGTTCTAGTTCCTTGACTAGCTTATGTTTGTTTTGGTTTTATATTTTTGTATTATGGAAGCAGGGTGTCATTAATTTAATTTACACATTAATTGGGTATAGGATTTCCTTCCTGCTGGTGCCTGGCATTGAAGACAGTGGTTCTTCCCTGTGCCTTCTTTAGTGAGTCGCCACCCTCACGGGAAAGCACGGACCAGAAGATGAGTCCTCATAGCTGCTGGTTGTCTGGGTCTTTCATGAGAGTAACTTTGTCTAATTGGATCCATTAGCTAACCAGTTTTCACCCAATTATAGGTGGGAAGCAATTTGCTTATGCTTTTGAAATGGTTGATTTTGGCATGTCTTTTAATGTCTAGCGGAAAGCAGAGAACAGAGAATGTATTGCGGATATTCTTAGACCCTCTTCTGGATGTGCTTATGAAGTTTAGTACCAATGCCTACATGCCCTTGCTGAAGACTGACAGATGCCTCCAGCTGCTGTTGAAGCTGTTGAACACATGCAGGTTGAAAGGTTCCAGTGCCCAAGATGGTGAGGATAAGTTGTTTCTCTTGGTATCTTGCTTGATATAGCATTGGTATTTAGAGTTCTAGAGAGGAAACTTCCGTCTTTTTAAAACAAAGAGAAAACTTTTTATATAATTTAGAAATTATATATATTTAAGAAATTATATAATTATATATTAAGAAATTATATAATTTAAGAAAAATATTTATTGAGTATCTCCCAGTGGTGCTGGGGATACAGTGGTGAAGGAGCAACCATCTGTTCTCGTGAGTTGACATTCTAGTGGTTTCCGTGTGTTGGTTACTATAATGTAATTTCATTTGCTTTTTAAAAATATTTATGCATGCTTATTGATTTCTAGACCATTTAAAATGATCACTGTCTTGTATATGTTTAAGCAGGATCCATTTCTGTTTGCCACTCTGCTAAAGCATGAGAATGGCAGTAATTTTATAATTACTTGTTTTTAAATATGTTCATCTCCGAGTACCTTTTAAGTAGAAAATACTTCACAGAGAAAGTTAGTGATAATAGTAGAAGCATTGAGCTCTTTCTTCTCTCCTTAAACTAAGGTATGTAAAACAGCAGTTGAAAACCCGTAGACATCAGAGATGAGAGTAGTGACAGGTGAACCTCCCAGTCCTTCCTGACCAGTCTCATTTGCAGTTTTAGAAATTTCCTGTTTAAAAATTCTAGAGGAGCATTAGTATTAGGTTGAACCTGAGAATAAAATTGATACGATTATATTTTCATATATGCTTATGAAATATAAAAAATATTTTTTTATAATGATAGTAGCAGAACCAAATGCTATGAAAATACAGTAACTTTTTATAAGACTTTCAACTCCTTAAGGGCATACATTTGAATTCATTGGCGCTGTCCTGACTATTTACTCCTATGCTCAGTGCTTTCAGTGTAGAACTGGGTCACATGTGCTCTTGAAAAATTGCCATAATTTTGGATACAAACAAAAGAATGTGTGATATGTAAGTTATATAAAAGTTATATATATCCTATATATAAAAGGATGCAAAGTAATTAAACACCTGTGTGCTCACATGCAACCTAAGAACGAATTTACCTGTTTAGTGCCCTCCTGTTAACTCTTTGTCTTCCTATTTTGAATTTTATTACGTCCATGAATTTTAGAAAAGGATTTTTAGCGCATATATAGATATTCCTCAAGAAGATATTTTTTTAACTACTTTATTGAGGTATAATTGACATGTTAAAAGGCTTTACATATTTAATGTATGCAACTTGATGAGTTTGGGGATAGGTATACACCCCTGAAACCATCACCACCATCAAGGCCATAGACGTATCCTTCACCTCCCAAAGTTTCCTCCCTCTCCTATTATTATTACTATTTGTAATAAGAAGACTTAACCTAAGATCTGCCCTCTTATCAAGTATGAGTTAGAGATAGAAATTTGGGAGCCATTAACATACAGGTGGTATTTAAAGTCATGAGTCTGAATGAGAATGTTAGGGGAGCAAGTGTAGACAGAGAAGGGGTCCAAGTACCTTGGGGACTTCAATGTCCAGAGGTTAGTGAGGTGAAGAGGAACAGCAGAGGGTACCTAGGGGAATTTATAGCCAGAGAAGAGGAAAACCAGGAAGCCAGCGAAGAACGTGTTTCCGGGAGGAGGGTGGGATCCCACACCAGAGGCTGTTGATGCCCTAACAGAAGGACTGGGAATTGACCATCCAATTTAGCAACATGGAAATCAGCGGCGACCTCAACGGAAGCAATTTGGGGCAGTAGTGGGGGCCACTCGGAGAGAAATGAAAATAGTGAGTAAAATAGCAAGTTTTTTATGTAGAGCAGCAGAGAAATGGGGCCGTTGGTGGTGAGGAACGAGAAGTTGTTTTTGTTTCCTTAAGAGGTGAATATAACCATGTTTATGTGCTGATGGAAATGATTTCATTGAGGGAAGGTTTGAAGACATAAAGGGGTGGTGTTTGCTGACTGGCATCCAAGCATAGGTGAGAGTGTATGGAATCCAGGGCACAAGTGGTTCTAGAAGGTTCTAGAAGGAGCACTGATAGAGAGAGGTAGGTGCAGGTAGGTGGGTGGATATAGGAGGTCGTAGAAGTTCTTTTCTAATTTATTCTGTTTTTTTTTTAAGGAAAGAGGAGATAGAGTGAGGGTGGGGATGGAAGTGTTGGCAGTGTGAGGACAGGGTATAAGCATCTGTCTGGGAAAGAGGCTTTGTGAGTGCTCTGAGGCAGTGCTGTAGGATTGCTGGGCTTGCTGAGCACGCCCTTGAGGTTGCGATCGTGAATTCACAGTGATGGTAGTCCAGACGGCTGTGTTTTCCTCCAGCCTGTGATGTGCAATACCACTTTACTGTGCCTAATCAGATGAGATTCAGGGATTGTCATTCTGCAGATACAGTTTTTCTAAAATGATGTTTCCATGATTATATGTTTAATCTGCAATAACTGTATAATGTTTACTTTTAAATTTGAGGAAACATACTTTTAGTTACAATATAGCTTCCCTTTCATTACACTGGGTTATATGAGCCTTCAGTATACTGCTTCTGTCCTCACTACTGGCTGAATTTGTCACTTTGGTGGGTCTGGTCTTTGCTGAGTCTCGCTTTTTTTGTGGGAGTAATCTCTTGTCTATTGGAACTTTTCTTCCTGACGTAGGTTTTTATACATAGTTAGTTTTATGCATAGATAGTTTTATACATAAAGTAAAATTTACATTTTCACTATATTTAAGTGTACAGTTCTGTGACATAGAAAGTACGTTCACACTGTTGTGCAGCCATCACCATCATCCATCTCCAATTTTCCTCTTCCTGAACTGGAACTCTGTACCTGTGAAACACTAATTCCCCATTTTCCTCTTTCCCCAGGCCCTGGCAATCACCATTCTACTTTCTGTCTCTATGAGTTTGACTCCTCTGGGTACCTCCTAGAAGTGGAATCATACAGCATTTGTCCTTTTGTGTCTGACTTATTTTTATTTCACTGAACACCATGTCTTCTGGGTCCATCCATGTTGTAGCATGTATCATGCTTTGATTCCTTTTAAAGGCCAAATAATATTCTGTTGTTTGGCTAGATTATAATTGGTTATCCATTCATCTGTTGATGAACAATTGGATTTTTTTCACCTTCTCTTTTGTGAATAATGCTGCTGTGAACATGGGTGTACAAATGTCTGAGTCCCTGCTTTCAATTCTCTTGGAAGTGGAATTTCTGCATCATATGGTAATTCTGTTTAATTTTTTGAGGAACTGCCATACACTTTTCCACAGTGGCTGTACCTTTTTACATTTTCACCAGTAGTGCACAAGGGTTCCAGTTTTTCCACATCCTCTCCAACACTCGTTAATGGGCTTTTAAAAATAATAGCCATCCTAATGGGTATAAAGTGCTACTTCATCATGATTTTGACTGTGATTGCTTTTTGACTAATTCTGGTACCACTTCTGTTGGGATTCAGTTTACTACTATACATTATATGAGGCATAGACTAGGAAACCAAACCATAATTTTTTTTTTTTTTTTTTGAGACGGAGTTTCGCTCTTGTTTCCCAGGCTGGAGTGCAATGGTGCGATCTTGGCTCACCGCAACCTTTGCCTCCCGGGTTCAAGTGATTGTCCTGCCTCAGCCTCCCGAGTAGCTGAGATTACAGGCATGCACCACCATGCCTGGCTAATTTTGTATTTTTATTAGAAACAGGGTTTCTGCATGTTGGTCAGGCTGGTCTCAAACTCCCAACCTTAGCTGATCCGCCTGCCTCGACCTCCCAAAGTGCTAGGATTACAGGCATGAGCCATTGTGCCCAGCCCCAAACCATAATTTTTATTCTGGCTTGAACTTTTGCCCACAGTTTGTATATTGTGACAGGGTGTTAAATTCAGAGATGTGGCAGTGACCAGGGAATGTGCCTTGAGGGTGAGATAGAGGCTGTTCTGTATTGCGGTAATTAAGAGGAGCCACTGGGGTAGGGATGATAATATTGGATACCTTGAAGGCAGCTACTTTTCTTCAAGTCTTTTTGTTCTCTCTTCTCCAAGGCCTAAGCTTTCCCTTGAAATCTCAAATTTATTTTAATTGAATGGGTTTGATTATATATGAGGAAAGTAAATCTATTTTATGCTATTAATGTAAGTTTGATATTTAAGGAGTTGACTATATATATAGGAGAAAGAAAAGGCAGAAAGAGTAGTATGGAATATGCAAGACAAGAGTATTCTGTTTTTCCCATATTCATTGGTTATAGTTTTTAATTTTTTAATAAAGGCTTTTACTTTCCAATCATTTGCTGGTGGCTTCTTGACCTGGCAAGTGACTCATGAGATACTCCAGAGGCTATATAATATAGCCCCTGGGTAACATGAAAATTTAAAATTAATTTTTAATGTATGTAATCTCTTAATGAACACTTCTCAGAGTGATAGATACAGCATTTTATGAAGTGTCTATTAAATCTTCTGCCAAGTTAGTCCTTTGTCAGATATGTGGTTTGCACATATTTTCTTTTTGTCTGCAGCTTATCTTTTCATTTTCTCAACAGTGTCTTTTGCAGAGCCAAAGTTTTTATTCTGATGAAATCCAGTTTATTTTTGTTTTGTTTTATGGATCGTGCAGTAGGTATTACGACTGAGAACTCTGCCTTAGCCCCAGGTCGTACAGGATTTTTCTCCTTCGTTTATTATTTTACTTTTAGACTTATGATATTTTTAGGGTTAATTTCTAAGGTGTAAGGTTTAGGTCAAGGTTAGTTTTTTTTGCCTTTGCTGGTGTAGTTGCACCAGCACCATTTGTTGGAGAGACTGAGTATCCTTTCTCTGTTGAATTGTTTTGTACTTTTGTCAAAAATTAATTGGCTGTGATGGAAACAATCCAAAGTAGATGGGTAGATGAATGGATAATATGTGGTTTATACATACTCAGCCATAAAAAGGAATGAAGTAGTAATACATGTTACAACGTGGATAAACCTTGAAAACATTATCTTAAGGGAAAGGTGATCACTAAAGACCACATATTATATGATCTCATTTAAATGAAATGTCCGGAATAGGCAAATCTCTAGAGACAGAAAATAGATTGGGGTTGCTTAGGGCAGGGAGAAAATAGGGGTTAAGGGCCCGATGATTTAAAGGGTATGAGGTTTCTCTTTGAGGTGATGAAATGTTCTAATATTGATTGTGGTGATAGTTGCACATATCTGTGACTGTACGAGAAACTATTGAATTAGATACCTTTAATGGGGGAATTGAATGCTCTGTGAATTCTATCCCAAAAAATTGTTGACAAATAATTAATTTGGCTGTATTTGTGTTGATGTAATTCTGGACTCTATTCTGTTCTTTTGATCTAAGTGTTTATTCCTTTGCCAATACCACAAGGTTTTGGTTACTGTAGTTTTATAATAAGTCTTAAAATAGGTAGTGTGGTTTTTGTCCAAAAATATTTTTAGCTATTCTAGTTCCTTTACCTTTCCATATAAATTATATCATCAACTTATATGTACCTACAAAAAAAAAGTCCTGCTGGGATCTTGACTGGAATTGCATTAAATGCATAGATCAGTTTGTGGAGAATTGCTTTCTTATGCTGAAACTTTTAATGCATGAATATGGTATTTCCTTACATTTATTTATTTAGAGACAGGATCTTACTTTGTCACCCAGGCTGGAGTACAGTGGTGCAATCTCAGCTCACTGCAGCCTCTACCTCCCATGTTCAAGCAATCCTGCTGCCTCAGCCCCCCAAGTAGCTGGGACTGCAGGTGCTCACCACCATGCCTGGTTAATCTTTGTATTTTTAGTAGAGATGGGGTTTTGCCGTGTTGTCCAGGCTGGTCTCAAACTCCTGACCTCAGGCGATCTGCCCACCTAAGCCTCCCAGAGTGCTGGGATTACAGGTATGAGCCACCACGCCTGGCCTGTCTCTGCATTTACTTAGGTTGTCTGTGATTTTTTTCATCAGTTTTACAGTTTTCAGCGTATAGATCTTACACAGGTTTTGTAAGATTTATAACTATTTCTTTTGAGGGGAAGCTGTTGTAAATGATAGTTTTAAAATTTCAATTTTTAACTGTGTGTTACTAGTATATAGAAATATGATTGATTTTGGTATGCTGACCTTGTATCCTGTAACCTTGCTGAAGGACGTAATTCTAGGAGTTGGTTTGTTTGAAGGTTCCTTGGGATTTTCTTTGTAGATAATCATGTCATCTGTGAATAGGGGCAGTAGAATTGTCTGTAGTATTCCCTTACCCTTTTAATGCCTGTCGGGTCTGTAGTGTAAGCTCTGTCTTTTTATTCCTAATAGTGATAATTTGTGTGTGTGTGTGTGCGTGCTTACTCATGTGCACTCTCTCTCTGTCTCTGTCTCTGGCTTGCTAGTGGTTTATCATTTTATTGACCTTTTCAAAGAACCAGCTTTTGGTTTCATTGATTTTTTTTTTATAGATTTTTTTTTTTGGTCAATTTCATTGATTTCTGTTGTTTGGTTCTTTCTGCTTGGGTTTGGTTTATTTTGCCTTTTTTTCCTTTTAGTGTTAAGGCAGAAACATAGATTGTTGATTTTAGACGTTTCTTGTTTTCTGAAATGACAGTGCTATTAATTTTCCTCCAAGTGTTGCTTTAACTATATCCCACAAATTTTGGCATGTTGCATTTTCATCTCAAAATATTTTCTAACTTTCCTTGAAGCTTTCTCTTTGACCCATGAATTATTTAGAACATCTTTGGAGACTTTCCTAGTTACTGCTTTCTAATTTAATTACATTGTGGTCGCAGAGCATATATCATATGATTTCAGTTTTTAAAATTGTTTTAAGTTTATGTGGGATATGGCCTATCTTGGTGAATGTTTCATGTACTCTGGAAAAGAATATTATTTTACTAGTGGCTGACGTGTTCAATAAATGTCAGTTATATCCAAGAGTTTTCATGGTGTTTTTTAGTTCCATATCCTTGCTGATTTTCTATTTATTCCTTGTATCTATTACTGAGAGAGGAACTTTGAAATCTCTGTTGCCCAGGCTGGAGTGCAATGGTGTGATCTTGGCTCACTGCAACCTCTGCCTCCCGGGTTCAAGCGATTCTCCTGCCTCAGTTTACCGAGTAGCTGGGATTACAGGTGCCCACCATCATGCCTGGCTAATTTTTGTATTTTTAGTAGAAATGAGGTTTCACCATGTTGGCCATGTTAGTCTCGAACTCTTGACCTCAGGTGATTCAACCACCTTGGCCTCCCAAAGTGCTAAGATTACAGGCATGAGCCACCACACTGGGCCTTTGTTTTTCATTTCTCTCTTTACTCTCTTTTGGGCAGTTTGAACATTATTTAGTATTCCATTTAAATTCAGCCTTTTTTTGTGTGTGTGTGGTTGCCTTAGGATTGCAGTACATATACTTTGTACAGTCTCTTTGGAATTAATATTTACCACTTGAAGTGAATATAGAAACTTCCCTTCTGATAGGGCCCTTCCCCCTTTCCCCTGTCTATGGTAGTTGTCTTATATTTACATTTGTTGAAAAGCCTACAAGACAATGTTATAATTTTTGCTTTTAACCAACAAACAAATTTTAAAGAACTCAAGAGAAAAGGGCCTGTTATATTTACTTAGATGTTTACAGGTCTCTTTTGCTCTTCCTTTGTTCCTGATATTCCAAATTTCCCTATGGCATCATGTCCTTTTTGTTCAAAAAAACTTCTTTTAGCATTTCTTTTGGAACACATTTGTTGCAGTGAGTTCTCTTAGTTTCCCTCATCTGAGAATATCTTTATTTCACCTTCATTTCTGAAGGATATTTTTTCTGGATATAAAATCCTGGCTTGATAGATCTTATCTTTCATCAGTTTAAAAATGCTGTTCCATTTGCCTCTGGTTTCTCGTGAGAACTCCATAGTAGTCAGGTTTTTCTTTGGCAATGTCATTTTTCTCTGTTTTCAAGATTGTTTTTTCATCAAGCTTGTTTTTAGCAGTTTGGTTGCCCTTTGTCTGGGCATAAATTTCTTTGGATGTATCCTTTTAGATTTCCCTGAAACTTCTTGAATCTGTAGGTTTATACCCTTTATCAGATTTGGAAAGTTTTCAGCCGTGTCTTTATTCAGATACTTCTTCAGCCCCACTGTCTTTCTCTTTTCCTTCTGGGGCTGTGATGGCTTGAAAAAATAAGATCGTTGTTATTATCCCACAGATGTCTAGTTCTGCTTCTTATTTTTTCAACCAGTTTTCTCTCCGTTGTTCAGATGTCATATTTTTGTTGATCTGTTTTCAAGTTCTGACTCCTCTCGCACCTCCTTTGTTATTCATCCCATTCAGTGAATTTATTTCAGTTATTGTACTTTTCAATTATAAAATTTCTATTTGGTTTTTCTATATATCTTCTGTTTCTTTGCTGAGGATTTCTAGTTTCCATTTCCTTCAAGATTGTCATTGATTGCTTGCTAAAGCATTTTTATTAGAGCTGCTTTAATGATTTTTGTCAAACGGTTCTAACACCCAAGTCATCTTATTGGTGTTATCTCTAGATTTTTTTTTCCATATCAGCTGGGGTTTTCCTGGTTCTTCATATGTTTAGTAATTTTGGATTATATCCTAGCTGTTTTGAATATTATAATATGAAACTCTGAATCTTATTTAAATCCTGTGGAGAATGTTGATACTGTTGTCCAGTACACAGTCAACCTGGTTAGGTTGAGGCCTCACATTCTGACTTAGCTTCTGTGGGTGCTGCTTCTGCTGTCAGTTTTGTCTTCACCTCCTTTGCCATGCTCTTTGGACCCATGCCACATGCATTCCATCTGTTGGCCACTCTGGGAACTGGCCAGTGGGCAACTCTGTTCATTCAGTCCTGAAAGTCTGTGGTGTGCTGATTAGCATCAGATCCGTGCATGTGCAGCTTGGAGGTGAGCCCAGGAGTTCATAAACAGCTTTCCGAGGCCACTTTCCTGCATCCCTCCCTGTCTGCAATCCAGTACTCACTGTCTGCTCTCCTGGAGTTCTCCTGTTTCGTTGCCTGACCAGAAAGCTGGCGCCCATTCTGCTGCCCACCTTGTTGACTGCTTCTGCATCTGGTTACAATTGGGAGGAGGACCAGAGGGAGAAACATTAGTAAACTCACCACTGTTCAGTGTTACTTCTCTCTGAATCCACCTGCTATTTTTTCCTTGTAGAGTTTTCAAATAGCTGCGTCATGCATTCTGTCTAGGTTTTATAGCTCTGTTCAGTGGTGGAGGGAAGAGTGTCCCTGATCCATCCTACCCACAACTGGAACTCCTAAGTGACTTAAGATTAAGTATAGCTTTCCCCATGGGGTGAATGATTATTATATTATTGCAATTTATTTTTGGCAAGTGATTCACGTGCTTAGCCCAGTTGTACATTTACTAGAATATCTGGTGTGTTTTGTACCAAAGAACTGCTGTCATTTTAGTTGCATGCTTTTTGCCCCCATACAGATGAGGTGTCTACTGTTCTTCAGAACTTTTTCATGTCTACTACAGAGAGCATTTCTGAATTTATTCTCAGAAGACTTACTATGAATGAGCTAAATAGTGTAAGTATTCAGTGGAATAACTTTCTTTTTCATTTCTTTCATTCTTTTCACCAATATTTGAGTGATTACTGACACTGTATTAAATTGAAAAGAAAAATTAATTTTCTCAAGAAGCGGTCTTAGGAAGCAGCAAAAAAAACCTTAGACTTTGGGGTCTCCTAGTTCCAATTCCATCTGTATTGTTAGCTGTGACCTTGGGCAAGTTACATAGATCTTCTGAGCCTCACCCCATTTACATCCAAGGATTTGGAGAGTTTCAAATGATGTAACATATTTGAAGTACTACACACATTCAATGCATTTTGGAGCCCAATCCCAAGATTCTGATGTGGCAGCTTTGAGACCGGACCCTGAGTGGGGGTGCGTGTGTGTTAAAGCTCCATCAGTGATTCTTAAATGCAATTAGGTTTTAGGTGTAGAGGATGCTCTGTGACTGTAGCTGTCTTCTCTGTCTCTAGACTGTACATAATTTGTTCTTTTGGGACATCTAAACAAGCTTTTCCCCTTAAAGAATACCTTGAAAATACCAGTTCTTATATGAATGTCTTAATTTTTTGTTTGTTTGTTTAAAATCTCTAGGGACAAATGTTGAAATGATTTGAATGCTTACATTGCCAATAAAATAAGAAAGCATTCTTACTTTAAGAACTTTTATTTAAATACCCAATTAAATATTAATACATTTGTTTGACAGCTTACACAGGTATGAAAATATAAAAATACAAGTATTCAACTGAAAGACTTGAGATTTTATTATAGAAAGGCAAGGAAGCTATTATGAAAATCTCTTTGGAGTGGGGAATATTTATCTATATCTTCCTTAATTTTTATCAAGCAATCATTAATATGAATTCTAGTACACCTACATTTTTAGGAAGGCATTTATTTATTTTTAATTTTTGTGGGTACAGAATCAGTGTATGTATTTAACCAAGAAGTCATTTAAATATCTAAGTAACTTTAAAATTTAAGTTTTGCTCCAATACCACTTTTTATCCTCAGTATTATTTTTACCTGTTTGTATGGAAAATTTCCAAACATATACAAAAGAAGTTTAATGACCCTCCCTTATGCTTATATGATGACCCATTATATAACATGTTTTTGTTTGTTTGGATTTTGAAGCTAAAAACAGAGGGAGAGCTTGATGTTACTTTATCTTTTAGATGCAAAGATTTTAAAAAGTAATTCCATATATGATAGTTTTAAGTTGTTTTGAAAAAGCCATTCTTTAATAAATTAATTAGAATTCTCACTTAAGTTACGTTTGTTTAGTAGCTTAGAGTTTAATAAAATTCTCTTCCCACACTTTCCCCTGTCAGCAGTGTGCTGGTCAGTGTTTAATGACTGACTCTCTAGGGGAAAAAAGAGCCTGCCTCTGTAGTATTTACCAATTTCCACGGCCGATTTCAGCCTACCAATGTGAGGCCACTGAGTTGGAAAGAGATATGATCTTCGGTCTTTGCGATGCTGGCTGGGTCTGCTGCTACGCCGCTGCCTGTCTTAGTTCACAGAGGAAATAGTGGCTGTCAGGCTGGAATGCTCTCAATTTCCAGTTGCCAGATGTATGGACTTACGCTATATGCTCAACCACACCTGAATTCATCCTCCCTGTCTTCCCTTTGTTACAAGAGAGTAAGGAAATTGGGATTTCATCCGTCTCTATTTTCTTAAGCACTTTACACTATTGATTGTCTTCTTTCTTGTGTTTTCAACTACTACTTTTCTCCTGAATTCTTTTCATGAGCATTTTAACAGGTTTAAGCATCCTTCATTTTATTTATTTATTTAATAAATAAATAAGCAGCTTTGTCACCCAGGCTGTGGTGCAGTGGCATGATGTCGGCCCACTGCAACCTCCACCTCCCGGGTTCAAGCAATCTTCTGCCTCAGCCTCGAGTAGCTGGTATTACAGGCGTGCGCCACCGCGCCTGTAATATTTTTGTATTTTTGTATTTTTAGTAGATTTTTGTATTTTTGTATTTTTAGTAGAGACGGAGTTTCACTATGTTGGTCAGGCTGGTTTTGAACCCCTGACCTCAGGTGATCTGCCTGCCTTGACCTCCCAAAGTGCTGGGATTACAGGCGTGAGCCACTGCACCCAGCCAAGGGTCCCTCATTTTGAAAGAACCGTCTCTCAATTTCATGTTCCCTTCTAGCGCCCTATGTCCTTCTCTTTAAGCAGACTCAATTTAATTCTAATTTGACTTTTATCTTTGTTACAACACAGAAATGACTCTCACTAAAGATGTCAGCGACTCTTTTTCATAAACTTAATGGATACTTTCCAAACTGTATTTTTCTTTATTCTTTAGTTCCAGCGAACACTGGTGACCACCTCCCCCTTGAAACACTGCTTAACTTCTATGATGTCATTCTCTCATGCTTCTCCTGCCCCAGCCCCTGCATCTTTCTGGCCATTATTTCCATTTCTTCTTTGAATGTCCATTCTCTGCTCCCTAACCTTTGAAGCCAGAGCTCTTTAAAGCTTGTCCCTGACCCCTTCTTTTCTCATTCTCTCCCCTGTCACTTGATGATCTCATCTACATCCCCAGCTTCAGTTCTGCCAGGGACCCTCAAATCTCTGTCTCCACCTCAGACCACCCTTCTGAGCTTAACGCCCATAGTTGCTTGCTCTATGATGGTGTCAGTCGAATTTCTCACACTGTTCAAAACTGACTCCCTCATTATAATTCCTACAGGAGGTTCTCCAGGTTACTGTCGCAGTGAATGTCCCACCATCCTGCCAGTTTCTTAAGCCAAAAACTTAGGAATCCTTCCTGGCACCTTCATCCCTCACTCTTGCCCTTTTGTTCAGTCTTGTAATCGTTACCTTCTGTCTGCACTGTATCCCAGCACCTGGCAAAGTGCTTGGCGTCCAGTGGTTGCTCAGTAAAAACTGATTAAATTACTTCCTGTGTGCTTTCTATGTGCCATAGGAGGCCTCTTCTGGTATAGTAATGATATATTAATATAGTAATAATTTCTCCCATTGATTCCTTCAGAAACCCTGTGATGGATAAATATTACTATCTCTATATTATGGACAAGGACAAGGTTAGGCAGTGACTGCATTCAGCACAATTATGGCACATTTCACAATTGAGTCATCCATCTCCCCACCTGAATTATGAGATCTTAACACAATAAGGCTTAGTAGTGAAGAGTTAAATAACTTGTCCTATGTCACAGGGCTGGTGCATGGTAGAGCTGAACCCATTTTTTTCTGGGTTTATGAGTCAAAAAATGTGCATTTAAGTTGTTTAACCTCTCTGAAACTTAGTTGTCTTATGAAAGTGGGACAGTGATCTTTTTTGTGAGAAGTGATTTTTGTAAACAGTGGAAGTAGTCATTGCTATAACCATTATCATTATTATTTATGATGTACTAGCCCTAGGGACATAAGAATTGGTAGATGGTAATTTCTGCCATCTAAGGTCTCCCTCATAGGTAGGGAGACAGATGACTCAACTGTGAAATGCACCATAATTGTGCTGAATGCACAGTCACTGTGTAAGCACAGAGAAGGAAGTCCTTAGCTCTGCGTGGGAGGTTATGGAAGGCTGCTTGGAGAAAAGAACTTATTTTCTCATCAGTGTCTTGTTGTGGTCCTTTAAGTAAACTTCTCCTGCCTGAAGGCTTGTAGTTTTGTGAAAATCATGGACCTTGCTTGTACCCTTAAGTGTTTTAATCCTTGTCTTAGGTTTCAGATCTGGATCGTTGCCATTTATACCTGATGGTGTTAACTGAGCTTATAAATCTGCATTTGAAGGTTGGGTGGAAAAGGGGTAACCCTATCTGGAGAGTTATTTCTCTTTTGAAAAATGCATCCATTCAGCATCTTCAAGAGATGGACAGTGGACAGGTAAGCCTCTTTGATTCAAGGTTTGTAGTTATCTTGAATAAGGCATACAGGGAATACATATTCAGTTCTTATACACTATTTTGATACCATACAAAGCGTTAACTAAAATTCAGTTTTAAAATATACCCTCTAGTGATAAGATGTAGTTAAGATTGATACTTTTTGTTTTTTGGAGATGGAGTCTGGCTCTGTCACCCAGGCTGGGGTGCAGTGGTACCATCTTGGCTCACTGCAACCTCCACCTCCTGGGTTCAAGTGATTCTCCTGCCTCAGCCTCCTGAGTAGCTGGGATTACAGGTGTGTGCCACCATGGCTGGCTAATTTTTCTATTTTTTAGTGGAGACGGGTTTTACCATGTTAACCAGGCTAGTCTCGAACTCCTGACCTCGTGATCCGCCTGCCTTGGCCTCCCAAAGTGCTGGGATTACAGGTGATACTCTTAATATAATATTAAACATATAAGAGGCATCATCTTAAAATCATTTAGATATAGACATTTCACCTGTACTAGGTCTTTTGCCCAAACGTGTCCAGTAAAGGACATTTTATAGTCTGACATCATTGCCCTCCATGCTTGGCTTCCTACCTCATTTTTCAGCCTAGCTGTCCACTGTCTAATGCCTTTCCCCCTCCTTCCCACAGTGCCGTGACGTTGCAGCCACTCTAGGCTACTTAGAGTTTTACAAATCACAAGCATGTGTCCTATCTTCCTCATGGAGGCTGTCATTCAGTCTGGTCCCTCCGTGGAGAATGAGTGCCCTCTCCTCCAGCATACACTTGGCAGCATCTGGTCTCCCCTTTTATGGACCAACTGGAATCTCTTTTCTCTTAGAGGTCTTCTTCGATTAGTATCTCACTCTCTTTCATCTTCCTGTTGCTCTTTATGCCTCACTTGTAGTGTGTATTTCCATCTTTCTTGTTTTTGGAGTAATGTATGCATATATATCTTTTCCTATATATATATATTTTTGAACAGAGTCTCGCTCTGTCACCCAGACCGAGTGCAGTGGCGTGATCTTGGCTCACTGCAGTCTCAGCCTCCTGGGTTCAAGCAGTTCTCCTATCTCAACCTCCCGAGTAGCTGGGACTACAGGCGTGTGCCACCATGCCCGGCTAATTTTTGTATTTTTAGTAGAGTTGGGGTTTTGCCATGTTGGCCAGGGTGGTCTCGAACTCTTGACTTCAAGCAATTTGCCTGCCTCAGCCTCCTGAAGTTCTGGGATTGTAGGTGTGAGCCACCGTGCCTGGCCTCAAGGCTTTTTTTTTTTTTTTTTGGAGACGGAGTTTCGCTCTTTTGCCAAGTCTGGAATGCAGTTGTGCAGTTGGCTCACTGCAACCTTGGCCCCCCAGGTTCAAGCGATTCTCCTGCCTCAGCCTCCTGAGTAGCTGGGATTGTAGGTGCCCGCCACCATGCCTGGCTAATTTTTGTGTGTTTAGTAGAGATGGAGTTTCACCATGTTGGCCAGGCTGGTTTCGAACTCCTGACCTAGGTGATCCACCCACCTCGGCCTCCCAAAGTGCTGGGATTACAGGCGTGAGCCACCACGCCTGGCCAAGGCATTTCTTAAACATGGCACAATAAGGCTTAGTAATGAAGAGCACAGGCTTTGGAGTTAGAGTTGCTGGGTTTGAATTCTGGCTTTATTTTTGCTGTGTGACCTACATTATTTAACCCCTCTGTGTCTCATTTACTGCACCTGCAAAATGGGGATTATAGAGTTGATGTGGGAATTAAAGAAAGCTCATTCATGTTAAGTCTTTAGAACTGTACCTGGCAGATAGACAGTCCTCAATAAAAGTTAGCCATTTTCACTTAACATGTGGTAAGTGTTTAATAAGTTGAACTCAATCAGTGTAACTAATCCAGGCTACTAAGAAAAACAAAGAAGATACTCGATTGCTTTAATAATTTAATTCTAGGAGGAAATGATAAAGACGATGATTAATATTTCAGCATCCTGTCTAGTACCTATTAGTCTGTTAGTGTTATGAAAGAACATTGTGAGTTCTAAATATACAACCAAACCATGAACCATGCCACAGTAACTCTTATTCTTAAAAATCGGCTTCCTTTAGTAATTCACTGAATTACATTAAGGTTAGCAGGGACGATAGTTGGCTCAAAGGTAACACTAAATTCTATTTCATATGTTGGCAGTGTTGATATGTAAAATTTTTCTGTAGAGATGGTTGATTTATTTTTGGAGAGTGAAAGAGGGGTATGGAATAAGTAGAAATTTCCTTTCTGATACAGACATTACTGGTTGGCAGTATTTGAGGGAACTGCTGTAATCTCTCAGTGCTGTTGTTTTCTGTGTCTGACTTCTTGCCTGCACTCCTAGCTTGGTGAGAGATTGTCGATTTTCTCTTTAAGTATAGACCAGGTTGTCTTGGCTACCCTCCTTTCCTACGTGTAGAGTTCCAAGTGTTTTACATGCAGTAACCCATTTGCTTAATCTTCACAATAACCCCGTGAAGTAGATTCTGTTACTGTCCCCATTTTACAGATGAGAAAACTAAGGTGTAGTATGTCTACACTCATACTGGTAGTAGCACAGAGCTAGGATTCAGACCTGGGCTTTGTGGTTCCTGAGTCCAGCTCTTAACTGCTGGACTACGTGACTTCTCCAAAAGTAGCGTGCAGCTGATAGAAGGAATTATTTGTAACCTGGAGCCTTTTATTTTTTTTTTTAACATGTTTCAGCAGACAGTTAAAATAAGGCTCACCCATAGGAATGCTGCATGCAGATGTGTATGCGAGTAGGAGAAAGGTCAAGAAGGACTTACACACAGCTTTGGGTTCTGTACGTAGCGAATCTGTCATGTACTAGTTCCAGGTACCTGTTTACCAGATGAAAAGATCCCATTGTTGTCTTAATCTAAATTGCTGAGTTCTTATTGCTACTTTAAAATTGTTCACTGCCAATCTGTAGAGAAGTAGTGGAAGTGAATGATGTGTACTGGATTTCCTTTTATTTCTCCTGATATTCAGGAGCAGGCAGGAAGAGGGAAAAGGAGAGCTTGAGCTTTCCATAGACTGGCAACTGAGGTCATTACTGATTAAGACTTGTGCATATTAAATAAAACATTGTCACATTTCCTTTTCAGGAGCCAACAGTTGGAAGTCAGATTCAGAGAGTAGTGAGCATGGCTGCCTTGGCCATGGTGTGTGAGGCCATAGACCAGAAGCCTGAGCTGCAGCTGGACTCTCTCCATGCTGGGCCCCTGGAAAGCTTCCTTTCCTCTCTTCAGCTCAATCAGACGCTGCAGAAGCCCCACGCAGAGGAGCAGAGCAGTTATGCTCACCCCTTGGAGTGCAGCAGGTACAGGGAAGGTTAAGGCTTAAAAATCCATTTCTGTTGTTGTCACCGTGAGTTCATGATTGCCCAACATTGCTTATAAAGTTATAGAATTTTGGGGCTGAAGCTCCATTCAGGATGAAAGTGTGGTATAACATTATTCATCTCTGTTACTGGAGACTTGCTGACTTTTCTGCATCTAGTTTTCACTGAATCATTTCAGATGAGCAAAAGTACCTACTTTCAGAGAAGTTAGAAAATTAAGGTTTATGTGGTTTCCTTAGTTTTTGGTAGATAGGCTGTTTGATAATGACCATTTATATCTGTACACTGCCCCCCCCCCCCCACCTTTAGAAAGGATAGTGTGCTACGTGCAAAAGACGTGGAGGCAAATTGGGGAAGTATGGCCTAGTAACTTTATTTTTTATTTCAGTGTTTTGGAAGAATCGTCATCTTCCCAAGGATGGGGAAAAATAGTTGCACAATATATTCATGATCAATGGGTGTGCCTCTCTTTCCTGTTGAAAAAATATCACACCCTTATACCAACCACAGGGAGTGAAATTCTGGAACCGTTTCTACCTGCCGTTCAGATGCCAATAAGGACTTTGCAGTCTGCACTAGAAGCCCTCACAGTTCTTTCTTCTGATCAAGTTTTACCAGTGTTCCATTGCTTGAAAGTGTTGGTTCCCAAGGTAAGATAGAGTGAAACATGAATTGAACAGTAACTATAGGAGTGGCGATCAAGTTTTTGAAATAAGTATGTATTTTTTTTTTTCCTACCAGCTTCTGACTTCCTCTGAATCACTCTGCATAGAGTCTTTTGACATGGCGTGGAAAATTATATCTTCTTTAAGCAACACTCAGC
The DNA here is from genome assembly GCF_000001405.40 of Homo sapiens. Lineage (NCBI taxonomy): Eukaryota > Metazoa > Chordata > Mammalia > Primates > Hominidae > Homo > Homo sapiens. The sequence continues at coordinate 234,429,242 of NC_000001.11, read as the reverse complement.
TGATATTCTGGGCTAATTTAAAAGCTTTTGTTCAGTTTGTTTTTGATAACAAAGTTCTTACCATTGCTGCCAAAATCAAGGGCCAGGCATATTTCAAAATAAAAGAGGTAACTAACTTTCTTTTCTTTTTGCTTTTCTTTTCATGTGTGTGAGCTTCAGCACATGAGGAACATGAGAGTTGTATTCACAATTAGATTTTTGGCTCTTTATTCCTTCAGTCAAAAATATTTTTGAACCTTCTTAAATATCAAGAGTAAGAATGAGAAAATCTGACAGATGTAGAAGAGAAGGTACAAAACGGTAGCCTGGAGCCACATCTGCCTCAGAAACGGTTTGTTTGGTTCATACAGTGTTTAAAATTTTGATTACCTGGCAACTTTTAATTGTTGGGAAATCTGGCCAGGCGGGGTGGCTCATGCCTGTGATCCCACCACTTTGAGAGGCTGAGGCGGGCGGATCACGTGAGGTCAGGAGCTCGAGACAAGCCTGGCCAACGTGGCAAAACCCCGTCTTTACTAAAAATACAAAAATTAGCCAGGTGTGGTGGCGCACGCCTGTAATCCCAGCTACTCAGGAGGCTGAGGCAGGAGAATTGCTTGAACCCAGGAGGCGGTGGTTGCAGTGAGCTGACATCACGCCACTGCACTCCAGCCTGGGCAACAGAGCAAGACTCCATCTCAAAAAAAAAAAAAGTTGGGAAATCTGTATGAAAAACTGGATTTCTTGGAAATGAGGTAATCTAGCAACACTGGTCATTCTTCCATGACAATGTAATTGATCGCTCGGTTGAGTAGGAGTTGGCATGCTCTTTCCACAATCAGTCTCATTTCACCCGGATACTTGAAGGCAAATGTCAGGCGCCATTTGTCATTGCACTTTGGCTGAGGTTTTTTTTTGTGTGTGTAGAGAAATATTTTTCTGACTGTAACCCTTATCAAAAGGTCTTGCTGGTTTCTGGAGGTATTTTCATTTGCAGCTACTGAGATAGGAACATACCAAGGTGGAGTTCCAGTGTACCTCCTGATCCCCAGGGGAACAGGGAGAGTCAGATTCCGTTATTTCTCTGCAGCCCTGTGCTGCCTTTCTTGGTCCTTTTCTGCCCCACAGTACATAGTTAGAGACGCTGGTCTTTGCTGCCTCAGCCAAAGGAAGGCCACTGGCAAAATGCAAACAAAGGAAGCTGAATGTGTGTGGGGTGAGGTGTTTTTCCCCTTTGATTCTACTGCTTTGGCAGTTGTTTCTCTTGAAGAGTCCTGGATGAATATCACTATCAGTAAAATTTTATTTATTTTTATTATCAAGAGATGAAATAGCATTCTCTGATTATTGATCATCTCGCAAAGTTATTCTAACAGTAATGAATTTAACAGTTTTTAGACTGTTCATGATTATGTTGAAACTAAGTAACAGTTTTTAGCAGCACTGATTTTTTAAAAACTAAATCAAGGATAAAATGACGGTTGTATTTTATTCCAGATTATGTACAAGATAATTGAAATGTCTGCTATAAAGACTGGAGTCTTCAATACACTGATAAGTTACTGCTGTCAGTCTTGGATAGTGTCTGCTTCAAATGTGTCCCAAGGATCTTTATCAAGTGCTAAAAATTATAGCGAACTTATCCTTGAGGCTTGTATATTTGGAACTGTGTTTAGGCGTGATCAAAGGTAAAAGATGCTATTATTTCAACTGGTCATAACTTGTATTAAGTGCCTACTTGGGTATAGAATTATGTCTTTGTTTTGAGGCTTTCAATTAAAAGAATATAAATTATTAGTTAACTTTAACCTTGGGGATTTAATTTTTTTTCTATTTAAAACCTGTTGTTCTTTATCAAATGTTTTTTATGGAAAGACTTGTTCAGGATGTACAGACCTTCATAGAAAACCTTGGACATGACTGTGCGGCAAATATTGTTATGGAAAAGTAAGTATGGTAGATTTTCTCTGTCTTCACATAAATGAGATACTAAAAATTTAACATCATATGACAAACATTCTGTATTTGCTAAATTTAATAAGTGACATCTAATATATTAATAAGATGGGATGAGCCTTTAAAAGTATGTTAGAAATTATAGTCCCTTGCTAATACATTGTCTTTACATCTTTCAGTATTCACTAGAATTTGATAAAATTTTAAAAGTTTTTAGTGCCGACTCCAGCGTAAACAAGGAAATGACTATGGAGAGCTTAAAGCCCCTGTCTTTCTTTTGCGGGGATGGGATGATTATCAGCACAGACACTTTATTCTCCAGTCCTTTTTTTGGCAGTAAAGTTTAATATGAAATTAAAATTCACCATTTAACAAGTTGGTATGTTACACACAAAAATAGAATTACTCTTGGAACAGACTCTGAAGTTTTTGGTTTTTTTAAAACTCTTTATTGAAGTAATGATTGACATGTAAAAAGCTGTACATAGTTAATGTGTACAACTTGATGAGTGTGGGGATAGGCCCTAAGTTTTGATTTCTGCGATAAAACTATTTTTATCTAACCACTGAATTAATTTTTTTGGAGCTTGTCAAATAGCTTTTTTTCAAGTTTTATTTTTTCACATGGCTTTCAAAAATGTGTACGTGTGTTTATAGAGATGATTAAAATAGCATTGTATCATTCACTCTAATTTTAGAGTTTAGGACATCAAATGATTATAATATTTAGTTATCATAAAGTATTTATTATTCTGAAAGTCCTAACTGTGTTGTAAATCATCTGTCACTTCTCATGAAAGATATACATTTTTTTCATTGTTTTTAGTTATTTTTTCTTGGCTGGCTTAGTGTGGCAATAAAAGTCAATTTTTCTAGTTGGTGGTTGCCAAATAATTTGATTTTGATTTCTACTAGGCAGTTACTTTGTTGTTAAATTAAAATATTTATTCACATTATAACAATTATAATGAAATGTGAACAATTATAACGGAATGTGACGATTTCACTTAATTTATCTTTCCACATTTGGCTACTAAAAATGCCGGGTGTTGAGAGCACACAGTGCTTCCTGAGTTTGCCCCTCAGTTGGAGAATGTGCACCGATAGTGCATGGTAGAGACAGGCCATTGACGTGTTTGATGTGTATCATGCCCCTGAGTGAATGGAGGTATCTGTGGTCCTCTTTCAGGGATAGGCTCATGAGCTGTGATCTGTTTTGTCCACAAATAAGGTATTATTGAACTAGGTTCAGCAGCGTGTGCATTGATTCTCCAGAAATCTGGATGAATTTGTGCTCATTCATACTTTCTGTATAGACCCTCCTTGTAATATATTCATTTGTTATCTTCTGTTATCTATTCTAAATTAAAAAGTATTGTCATTAAGTATGGACCTACTTAATTTTAGAAAACTTTGAGAGGTTTTGATCGTGTAATGATATTTGAAACTAATATTTGATGTTAATTTTCTGTTTTCAAAATGTATTAACATAATTTATCATTTAATTTTTTTAGTACTAAGAGAGAAGACCATTATGTGAGAATTTGTGCTGTCAAATTCCTGTGTTTATTAGATGGCTCCAATATGTCCCACAAGTTGTTTATTGAGGATCTTGCAATCAAGCTATTAGATAAAGTAAGTGTATTTTACTTTAAATTATCTTTGTTTTTAACAGTCAGAGGTCAACATTTGCTCTTTATGTTGCTAGAATATGTACTTCTAAATATCTTTTGTCAGGAGAAAACACAAAGTTTATGTTCTGTATTTTTAATTCAGTCTTGATTAGGGCTGGTCACACTGTGGCTCACGCCTGTAATCCTAGCACTTTGGGAGGCTGAGGCAGCAGAATTGCTTGAGGCCAGGAGTTTGCGACCAGCTGGGGCAACATAGTGAGACCTTGTCTCTACAAAAAGAAAAAAAAGAAAAAAAATCTTGGTTAGTAATTGTCCAACTCAAGTTTGGTTTTAGAGAACAATAATGGTAATGTTTTTCGTGTACCATCTGTACTTCACTCTGTATTTTCCAGTGCCAGTCAAACCCGGTTGTGTTTTTTGTTTGTTTGTTTTTTCTTCTTCTGAGACAGAGTCTTGCTCTGTCGCCCAGGCTGGAGTGCGATGGCATGATCTGGGATCTCGGCTCACTGCAACCTCCGCCTCCCAGGTTTAAGTGATTCTCCTGCCTCAGCCACCCGAGTAGCTGGGATTACAGGCATCCACCACTATGCCCAGCGAATTTTTTTTTTTTTTGAGACGGAGTTTCGCTCTTGTTGTCCAGGCTGGAGTGCGAAGGTGCGATCTTGGCTCATTGCAACCTCTGCCTCCTGGATTCAAGTGATTCTCCTGCCTCAGCCTCCCGAGTAGCTGGGACTACAGACATGCGCCACCATGCCCGGCTAATTTTGTATTTTTAGTAGAGACGGGGTTTCTCCATGTTGGTCAGGCTGGTCTCGAACTCCCGACCTCAGGTAATCCACCCTCCTTGGCCTCCCAGAGTGCTGGGATTACAGGCATGAGCCACTGTGCCTGGCCTAATTTTTGTATTTTTAGCAGAGACAGGGTTTCACCATGTTGGTCAGAATGGTCTCGAACTCCTGGCCTCAAGTGATCCTCTTGCCTTGGCCTCCCAAAGTGCTGGGATTAGAGGTGTGAGCTACTGTGCTTGGCCCCAGTTATGTTTAGAGTACTATATTCATATATTGCTTTCTGTAAGAAATGGAATGAAAAAGTAAAAACTGAGAAAATGGCATCAAATGTTAGGAATTGATTGCTGTGATTTGAGAGCCCGTGAAAGATTACCCCAGGATTTGCTTCCATTGTAATATATTGTTATTTCTAGATCTGGGTGTGTGATGTTTGTCTAAGACTGATGAAAATTCGTTATTTATTCAGATAAAAACAATCCAGTTAGGTTGTTTTTGAGCCTGCTAAATCATTTCTAAATGAACACTCTAGTGTCTGAAGAACAGGTTTAATAAATCTGGAGACAAGTTAGATAGGAAGGGGTAGAGTTGAGCATGGTGCTCTGTTCCCCATGTAATGTTTAAATGACAGATACAGTTACCTGTCATTTAAAGCCGAGGTCAGCGGAGTGCCTGGTCTGCTTTCTGACCTTGGTGTGGATGTATGAATGACTACAGAACTCATGGAAGTCCCTCTGTTAAAACAGGAGTATTCATCATACTTTTATTTTCTGAAGGTAGCAGGTCAGCTTTATTATATAAAACCTTGGAAATATTTTTTATGCAACAATTCCCTCTCTGTAGTGTTGGAGTCAAGGAAGATGTCCCAGAGGAAATAGTATGTTATTGGTTTTCTAAAAGATGAGTAGAGTTTAAAGTGATAGGAGCTGGGTATGGGTATTCTATCAGAACAAAAATACATGTTATAATATATATTTAGCTATTTAGATAAGGGGTCAGGGCTAGACATGGTGGCTCACGCCTGTAATCCTAGCACTTTGGGAGGCCAAGGCAGGAGGATTGCTTGAGGTCAGTAGTTAGAAACCAGCCTGGGCAACACAGTGAGTGAGACTACGTCTCTAAAAAAAAAAAAAAAAAAAATTCAGAAAAAAGAGAGAGGGGTCAGGAGGGTCTAATCAGGTGACATTTGGGCTGAGCTCTGGATGAATTAAGGAGGACACCTGGAGAGGATGCTGTCTGGAGACCAAGCGAGGAAAGGTAGTGCTGCGTGGAGGACGAGGAGGTTGCAGGCCGGCTGTTGGATTCAGCTGTCTTGGTCACCTCGACAAAGGCGTTTCATGGTGGGATGAGAATCTAAGTAGAAACAGTTCAGAAGAAAATGGGAGTTTAGCGAGTGGAGACAGTGAGTATAGAGTCTCTTAGGAGTTTGCCCTAGAAAAGGGGGAATAACAGGGGTCGTTCCTGGAGGGGAACCTGGAGTTAAAGAAGGGGCTTTTTAAAGATGGGAGATAATTGGAGCATGTTTGTATGTTGAAGGAAGTGGTGCAGTAGAGAGGGAAAAGTGACAGGGAGAGGCCAGCAATAATCACATAGGCAAAATACTAGCCAGTTGTACCCACTGGGATGGCTATCAAGAAAACAAACTAAAAATAATGAGCATTGGTGAGGTTGTAGCAAAATTGGAGCCCTCCTGCATCACTAATGGGAATACAGAACAGTGCAGCTGCTTTGGAAAACGGACTAGAAAAAGCAAAATGCTTGTCTAGAGCAGTAATTCTTAAAGTGTGGTCTCTGGATCAGCAGCGTCAGCATCCCTGGGAACTTGTTAGAAATGCATATTCCTAGGCCCTGCCCCCAGTCTACAGAATCAGAAGCTCTGGGGGTGGTGCCCAGCACTCTGTTTTAATGAGCCCTTGTGATTCTGGAGCTGATACAGTTTAAGAACTATTGGTCTAGCAATAATGAAGGCCCAGATACAGCTGGAATACATATTTTTAAATGTTTAATTTTTGTGGGTCTATAGTAGGTGTATATATTTATGGGGTGTATGAGATATTTTGATATAGGCATACAATGTGTAATAATTACATCAGGTAAATGAGATATCTGTCACCTCAAGCATTTATGCTTTATGTTACAAACAATCCAGTTATACTGTTAGTTATTTTAAAATGTACAATAACTTACTGTAGACTGTAGCCACCTTGTTATACTATGAAATACTAGATCTTATTCATTCTAAGTATATTTTTATACTCATTAGCCATCCCCACACCCTCCCCCTACCACCACTACCCCTCCCAGCCTCTGTGGCAACCATCATTCTATTTTCTATCTCCATGAGTTCAATTGTTTTATTTTTTAGCTCCCACAAATAAGTGAAAACATGAGAAGTTTGTCTTTTTGTGCCTGGCTTATTTCACTGAACATAATGACCTCCAGTTCCATCCATGTTGTTGCAGATGACAGGATCTCATTCTTTTTTATGGCCAAATAGTACTCCATTGTGTGGAATACATATTTTTAATGAAGTCAGTTGTGGCTGGTGATTTTTATTTTCTTCAGTAGTACCTGGCCATGAGTTAAACAGACTAGTAGAGAAAAGATATTCTGAGTAAAGGAGCACACTGAGTGGAACAAGTAGAAAGACAGAAGAAGATTTTGAGCTGAAAGGGAATTTTAGAATTCTCAACTTCCAGTTGAGGGTGGTGACTTGGTGAGGTCCTAAGGGCAGCTTTCTTGACATGAAGATGCTTCTTCTGAATGCGTGAATGATCCACCCTACTGATTCCATTTTTAATTGCATTGAGGTTGAGCAGTATGTGAAACCTAAACACACCTATATCAGAAGAAAATTCTTAACAGAAATTATATAGAGATTATGAGATTTTAAACATCACTGGAGTCATTAAAATCTATATTAATTTAGCTATTGTCATGAAACTTTATATACACTAAAATGCAGAGAACGAGATTATGGAAGAAGAAAGGTCAGAGAAGTTATGAAGTAGATGAGGATCATCTACACTATGTGAAAATGGTTTTGGAGGTGGTGAATGACTTTTCACCTTTAAGACATTTGAGAATGTTGACATACTCTTCAGTGCCATCTTGCTTTATGGCCAAAGCACTAATAGTTATGGTGATAAAAGCAAACCTTGCAGCTGGCTGAATTTAGGCGGCACAAGCCATGAAAAGCCAGAGAGAGCTATCTGTTACTAGGAAAGGCTCAGTGCTGCCATTTTCTTGTGTCGAGAGACACGTCATGCGTAGAGATGCCTTGCACTGTCCATGTACTGGGGTGGCTTCTTAGTGGTGTTTGCATCAGATTGTAGATACCAGTATTCCAAATGTGAATATGACACGGGGGCACAAGGTGAGAAGTGCCTGTGAGGTACATGGTAGTATGTGGCAATATATGTCCAGTATCTCAATCTCTTTTCGCCCCTGGAACCCATAGCTCCCAGTTTTTTGGCCCTCTTCTAATTTTAAAAACACTTAGCCAGGCGCCATGGCTCATGCCTGTAATCCTAGCACTTTGGGAGGCTGAGGCGGGTGGATCACCTGAGGTCAGGAGCTCGAGGCCAGCCTGGCCAACATGGTGAAACCCCATCTCTACTAAAAATACAGAAGTTAGCTGGGTGTGGTGGCGGGCGCCTGTAGTCCCAGCTACTCGGGAGGCTGAGGCAGGAGAATTGCTAGAACCCGGGAGGCGGAGGTTGCAGTGAGCTGAGATCACGCCATTGCACTCCAGCCTGGGCAACAGAGTAAGACTCCATCTCAAAAAAGAAAACAAACAAACAAAAAACATGTAAGTTAAAAGCAACTAAGTTCAGTGTTTGAAGTGTTTTATTTAAAAATTTTTTTATTTTTCTTAATCACTCAGCCCAAAATGTCAATGTTTGAAATATTTTAAGGTGCCATTCTTTTTCTCATCCTCCTAACTGCTTTTTGGGGGAAGAAAAAGCCCCTGTGCCTAATTTAAGCCACTTACATTTCAAGTTGTCATTGATTTTTTCATTAATCACAAATTCAATAGATAATTTAATGTTGACTCCCTCCCTTCTCCTTTCCAGGATGAATTAGTGTCCAAGTCCAAAAAACGCTACTATGTGAATTCTCTACAGCACAGAGTGAAAAACCGAGTGTGGCAGACTCTGCTGGTACTTTTCCCTAGACTTGACCAGGTATCATATTTTTATTATATTTGTACCTTTGAAGCATATGATTTCATGACTGAACTATTTTGCAGAAACTATCATATACTATTTTAAAATTGAAAAAGATAATGTTTAAAATTTATTCTGCAGTTCTTAAAATTGAAGTTATTCAAAAGTTTTTATTAACAGAGAGAATACCAAGGCAATTAGGTATTGTAGAAATAAGTTAGAAGTGGGTTTACATGGCCCCATTTAATATTTTTTTCCCTTCGGTGTTTTAATGTGACATTTTAACTGTTTAAAGTCTGATTTGCCATTTGATTAGAAAATGCAAATACTTAACTCCTAATTTTCTGTAGCTACGTTATTTTGGAGTGTTACACTGTTTTGGATTATCTGTACTGTAGAAACCAGGCAAATTGTATCATTTGGGATGGGAATATTGTTTCACATGGTGGATTTCCTTGCCCTTAACTTCATGAATAGTGTGACCATACAAACCAGCTAAGGAAAGGCCAGGTATCTTACAACAAAGTATCTTTATCCAAAGTTACCTTTTCTTCCCTGAGGAGGCAAGAAACAGTTGAATGGACGATCTGATTTTTCTAACCATCTTTGCCTAATATTCCTGTTGAGAAAATAGATCATCATTATGAGAAAGTGATGGTATATAACTCATGCAATTTTTAAAAACATTTTTCAATGCAAAAAACATCTTTCAGACATGAAAATTTCCTACTGTCCTCCCTACCTTCTTTTAAATGTGTGAGAGAATTACAAATATATATACTAGCCTCTTTCTTTACAATCTTATGAAGTCTTATATCTGTGAGAGAGAAATAGTAACAGTGTAAGTATATAAGTATATTCAAATAAAACAATTTGGAATAATTTAAGAGGAAATAGCTAAAAGAATTGCTTCTGGGGAGTAGTTTTGATGGATGTGGGGGGTGGGGGAGGTTGCTATTTTTCATCATAGGTCTTTTAGTATTATTTGATTTAAAGTATGTCATTAAACATAAGGATGCATTAAAAAAGGAAACATTTTAGAAATGCTCAACTAGATTACCGAGAGCATTTTTTTCTTAGAATGGAGAGGGTCTCCTAGAGAGAAGGGTAATGTTGGAGAGGGTGGGGAAATGTCCGAGCGGGCACACCTGCAAGAAAAAGGAAAGCTAGCAGTCTGTTATGGAGCTCAGAGTTGTAAACTGTTATATCTTATGGTTTTGTTTAACCTTCATGATAGTCTTCCAAGGTAGGCCATACATATTCTCATTTTGCCTCTAAGAGCACTGCAGTTGAGAGAGGTTAGGTGTCCTTCCCGAGAGGTTACACAGCTAGTGGTGAATGATAGAGGTGGAATTCAAAATCAAGCCTAACTACAAAATGTATGCTCCACTTTATGACACTATCTCAGGGCTTAAAATGAGCCCTTCTGCTCTTTTTCTACTAAGTAGAAATTCGTGTAAGATAGATTTTTCTTCTTTAAAATAAAGACGTACATAATACATATTACTTTTATTTTATTTTATTTTATTTTTATTTTTATTTTTTTTGAGACGGAGTCTTGCTCTTTCACCCAGGCTGGAGTGCAGTGGCACGATCTCGGCTCACTGCAGGCTCCGCCCCCCAGGGTTCACGCCATTCTCCTGCCTCAGCCTCCCGCGTAGCTGGGACTACAGGCGCCCACCACCTCACCCGGCTAATTTTTTGTATTTTTAGTAGAGACGGGGTTTCACCGTGTTAGCCAGGATGGTCTCGATCTTCTGACCTTGTGATCCGCCCGCCTCGGCCTCCCAAAGTGCTGGGATTACAGGCATGAGCCACTGTGCCCGGCCAATACATATTACTTTTATATGCTTATATAAGTAGATATTGTTTTTCACCTGCTGCTTAGATAGGTTCCGTCCCCCGATAGAAATACAGTTTTGAAGAGGAGAGGTTGGAAGAGGGAAAGATGATTTTGGAGCTCAAGGTCTTAGCCAGAGAACAGTGCGGTAGTTGTGGGGCAACACAGACCATGAGGGCAGGAGGACGACGAGCCTGAACAGAGGGCTCAGTGGCCCAAGACCTGCCCCTCTGGGATGCTGTTTCCCACCTGCTGACTTCAGTCTCTGTACCATCCCTTGTTACAAGGTTTAAGCCCTGGCATCTTGGCAGATCTTGATTTGAACCTGAATTCTTCCACTTACTAGGTATGTGACTTTGGGAGGGTTATTCAGCTTTTCTGAGTCTTTTCCTTTCCCTGTAAAAATACAGGTGATGGATAACCTTCCTTATAGATAGAACTGATGTCCAGGTAAATTATAAAGTACTGAATGAAGGTACTTCATCATTATATTTTAATCAGTAGTTTTTAGAGTCTTTGCTCGGAGAGTTGTAGATCCAATAAATTACTTATGATAAAAACTTTAAGCTATTTTATTTTAAATGGAGACTATTTTTAAATTAAAATGAATAACTGTAACTGGTTAATTGTGAACTTTTTTTCTCAGAATTTCTTGAATGGAATTATTGACAGGATTTTCCAGGCTGGTTTCACCAACAATCAAGCATCCATAAAATATTTTATAGAATGGATTATTATATTGATTCTTCATAAATTCCCTCAATTTCTTCCAAAGTTCTGGGATTGTTTTTCTTATGTAAGTAAAGAATATTTTTTATATATTTTTAAACTAAGACATGATTTTGACAATGCTGGGAGATTTGTTTCACTTAAATAGTTGTTTTTGACTCTCAGTTGCCCTATTGTATTGACATCATAAGTTATGTTTTGCAAGATCTGAATTAATTCAGAAGACAGAAATCCCTGGCATTCATTTTGAATATTTCATAGTTTTTGAGAGCTGTTCTATTCAACAAAATAAAGATGGAAAAGGCATTTGTCATTAAGAAGTAAGGGAAATAGGTGCATTCCGTATTCTTATTTACCAAGCAATGTCTTTGTTTGATCTTAGAAATATGAACGATGAGGAATTAATTGCGTTCCTTAAAATTGAAAAAAAGGTTTTGGGAGATTTCAAACATAACGTAGAAAGAATAGAAGTAATATCAGTTCATTTCCTTTCTTGTTTCATCTGTACCCTCACACACTCCCCTAATCGCTTTCCAACTTTTCTCATATATTGAAAATCATTTTTAAGGAATTGATACTAAAATTAGTGATAGAGTTTATCATTGCTGGCTTCCTGACAAAGAGCAAATTGTTTCCAAGAATCAGTTCTATATCTTGAATGCTTTCTTTTGGTTTCCAAATGCACCTTTCCCTTTCATAATAGATGATCTTGTCTTCTTCTTTGTGTGAAAATGGAGGTGCATTCCTCAAAATATCTCTTTCTCCATTTCTTCCTATTTCAGGAAAGATATCCTTATTCTTTTTTTTCACATCTATCCCCTGTGACCTGTTTGTGTCTCCTTTGGGACCTCACTGAATTCTTCACGCTTGTTCTGTTGACTTTTCCTCCACCCAGCTATCATCCAGTGTCTTCCTTTCTTTACTGTTAAACTTCAATGTGTGATCTTTGCCTTCCTCAAATCACTGAGGTCCACTCCATTTTCAACAGTGATACATCAAGGATTTTATCTGAGCTGCAGACAGCCTTTCTCTTTTCCTCCATGCTCCCCACTTTAATTTCACGCCTTCGCATTGGTAGTGGCTTTCTCCACAGCTGATCCTCACACTGCAGTCAACTTCATAATTCCCTTCCTATTGTGCTGATAACTTCTCTATTTCCTTCACATACTTGCTTCCCTCTCCCAACCCTTATGCTTGGTTTTATCTGAAGAGTCGCTGGTTAGCCTGTCTGCTTCTCTTTCTGCACTTCCTTAGCATAGTAAAGCCCATCTCGGCCGGTCCCTGCTTCTCCAGCCACCTGCAGGGCCTTTCCATAATCACTTCAAACTTCACCCTGTGTTAAACTAAACTGGTAACAGCATCTGGCCCTGAAATTGGCTCCCCTTTCTGATGTCTTTCATTCTCCCAGTCTCCTAGCTTAAAACCTGGGTGTCACCATAAGCAGCAGAAACAGCAGCCTCACCATAATCCTCAAAGACAGGTTGGAGTTTTTACCCTTATGAAGAAAACAACGATTAAGTGAGTCGTCACACCACTAAGAAATGACAATGCTTTGGCCAGGAGTGGCGGCTCATGCCTATAATCCCAACAGTTTTAGAGGCTGAGGCGGGAGAATTACTTGAGGTCAGGAGTTTGAGACCAGCCTGGCCAACATGGTGAAACCCCGTCTCTACTAAAAATACAGAAATTAGCCAGGTGGGGTGGTGCACACCTGTGGTCCCAGCTACTTGGGAGGCTGAGGCAGGAGAATAGCTTGAACCCAGGGAGGTGGAGGTTGCAATGAGCCAGGATCACGCCACTGCACTCCAGATGGCATCAAAGTGAGACTCCGTCTCAAAAATTTTCATCTCTTTCCAGGCTCCTCTGGCTCTTCTTTTTCATCTTCGTGTTCCTATAATGAAGAAACAGATTCTGTTATTTTTCCTTGAGTTGCCTTTTAGATCCATAGCTTTATTAATGTAGTTTGTTTATGTCACCTCTCAAATGGGTTAGCACTGCCCCAGGAATTCTCACAAAGGGCAGGTTGGTTCTGGTGTACCCCCAAAACTTCCTGGTGCTCCCATCCACAGTAGTGCCAGTTGTTACTTTTATTTGCTTAGCTCAGCCTCTCACTCGTCATTAGACCTTGTATATTCTCTTCGAATCTGATTTTACCTGTGGACATCAGACAGAGTTTTTGATGTAGGCAAAGGAAGCTTTTGCTGATGGAATCAAAATGGGATTCAAAAAAGGTAGTGGGGAAGAGGGGAGTAGTAGGTAGCTTACAGAACACCGGGAAAGCTACAGAATCAGAACTGGAAAATTGGCAGGAACAGGGGAGGCTCAGTGGCTTCCAGAAATGCAACCACAGGCAGGCCAGAGAGAGCTAGTTCACTGGGGACATTACCCCACTGGACACACGGTGCCTTCAGCAGGGCTTTGCTATAGCCAGCTGTATACCTACTGTCTCTGCTGCCTGCAGTGGAGGAGGGTTTTCTGTGAGCTCTGCTTCTCTAAGTTGTAAGTTCTCAATTTAGGAATCAGAAATGGAGTCTTTGGAACCGGGTCAGGTGCCTTCTTGTTAGTGGCAAGGAGGCTGGGAAGATGAATACCTGGCATTTTTCAGTGTCCCCCAACACTCATAAGATGGAAGAATTCCCTAAACTTGGAAGGGGATTCAGGATAGATATCAAAGAAAGGGGCAGTTGTCCACTACACCCTTTTCCTCCTTTATTCAAAGCAAATTACCTTAACCTTTATTTTTTTAGAGAAAATAACAGTTGCCACCTAGGAATACCTAAATCTTCTCTAGAGCAATCAGACAAATCTGCCTATGTCAGTATCCATCTGAGATTTCTTCCTTTTACCATAAAGGAGTAGAATCTTCTCCAGTGCCAGAGTAATTCTTCCACTGAGTCTTTGGCCCTCTTCCCTCCTGTCTTCTCAGGCATTTGTTGCTATCAGCCTGTCTTCTATCCTCAGTCTCTCCTTAGCCAAATGGTCCCATTGGCTTTTCAACAGGCTCGAGTTGCATCCATTTTCTGTGGATATTTACACTGGATGTTTTCTCGTCCCTCTCCTATAATCACCCTGGCTCTCTACTATTTCATCATCAGACTTCCTGAAAGAGGTGCCTGTGTTCCAGAGGTTTAGTTTTTTTTTAATTTACTAATTTTATTAATTTTTTTGAGACAGAGTCTCGCTCTGTCGCCCAGACTGGAGTGCAGTGGTGCGATATTGGCTCACTGCAACCTCCGCCTCCCAGCTTTAAGCAATTCTCCTGCCTCAGCCTCCTGAGTAGCTGGGACTACAGGTGTGCACCACCATGCCCGGCTAATTTTTGTATTTTTAGTAGAGATGGGTTTTACCATGTTGGCCAGGCTGGTCTTGAACTCCTGACCTCAGGTGATCTGCCCGCTTCGGCCTCCCTAAGTGCTGGGATTACAGGCATGAGCCACCGCGCCCAGCCTTATTTTTTCACATCCTTCCCAACCCACTCTTGAATCCATGGTAGACCAGCTTCCAGTTCAGTTACTTCTCAGAAGACACTGTTGCAGGAGTCAAGAGTGACTGACTGACGAGTCAGTGGTCAGCCTTTGTCTTCTTCTGTCAGCCACATGCATGCTGCTGACCATTTTCTTATTCTTGCTTCTAGTGACACACACTTCTCTGGTTCCTCCTGCCCTCTTTTCTGTGTCCTTTCCAGGCTTTTCTTTCCCTGCCTACCTCTTAAATGGTGGTGCTTCTCTAGAGCTAGGCTTTTTTTATTATTATTAATTTCTTATTTTTATAGTCAGTCTTATCTGTGTTGTGGATTCACATATTACCTAATGTGAATGACTTACTCATTAGTATTTGTATGCCACACATCTTCCCCTGACTCTAGATCAGGAGTTGGCAAGCTACAGCCAAATTTGGGCTGGCAGAGTTATATTGGAACACAGCCATGTCCATGCATTTTCATATTGTCTGTGGCTGTGTTTGTGCTAACGTGGCAGAGTTGAACAGTTGCAGCAGAGACTGCGTGGCCCACAAAGCCATGTTTTTGTGTATTGCTTGGCCCTTTACAGAACAAGTTTTCTGACCCTTGCTGTAGACGTTTTCCTTGTAGATGATTTTCCCTTAGACTAAATAACCTAAAACGTAGATGTGTAACACTGAGTGCCTTATTTTTCCCCTCAAACTTGATCTGCTTCCTACTCTAGTGAATACCACCACCATCTATACAGTTGCACAAACCAGAAACCTTGACACTTTCCATGCTCTGTGTCTGATTCGTGACCAGGTCCTGATCTTTCTGCCTGAATATTTCTGAGTTCTCTCTCTTCTGTCCCTGCCATTGTATCTCAGTCGACGCTACTGTCATCCTTGCAGTGGTTCCCTCACTGGGCTGCCTACATCCACTCTTGGCTCTGTTTCCATCTGCTTTCCACCCTGAAGCCCAGGCAGGGTTTCCATGGTGAGAATTTCAACAGGTGACCCCACCTGCTGAACACAGTGTCTTACGTCGTCTCAGGATGAAGACTATGCTCCTCGGAGTATCCCGTAAGGCTTGCGTGATCTTAGGCCTCTTTCCTCTCTAGTCTCTCTGTGTGGTCTATTCTCAATTCACTACCTAGGCACACTGATTGTCTGTTTTCCGTTGCTAGAACTCTCCAAAGCTTAGCGGTGTAAACAATGTGTTTTGTTTTGTTTTTGCAATGGAGTTTCGTTCTTGTCGCCCAAGCTAGAGTGCAATGGCACAATCTCGGCTCACTGCAACCTCTGCCTCCCGGGTTCAAGCGATTCTCCTGCTTCAGCCTCCCGAGTAGCTGGGATTACAGGTGCATGCCACCACACCCAGCTAAATAATTTTTGTATTTTTAGTACAGATGGGGTTTCACCATGTCGCCTTGGCCTCCCAAAGTGCTGGGATTACAGGCGTGAGCCACTGCTTTTTTTTCGTGATGTGTGTGTTGTCTGGGCCTGGCTGGGCAGTTTTGCTCCTTGTGGTGTCTGCTGGGGCTGGGACTTCCAAATGGCTCCTTCGCTCACATATTTGTCACCTCAGCTGCAATGGCAGGAGCAGCTCTGGTGGCTAGGCATCGCTCCCACTCTGTGTCTCCAGCAGGGTAGCTGGACCTCTTTATATTCAGTTCTCCAAGAATGAGCTTTCCGGCGGGTCGGGGGTCGAGGGGGCGCAGGCGGGTCATGTCCTGACATGCAAGTGCTCATCCAACCTCTGGATGCATCAGGCTTGCTAATGTTCACCAGCCAAAGCAAATCACATGACCATCCCTGCTGGGGTGGAAGGGGCCTGCATCGGGCATATGTAGGGAGGGTTGGTTGACCGGGGGTCACCCGAGATAACTGAGTACCACACTGACCTTTTCAGTCTTTCCTGCTTATCACCAGTCCTTTTGGTTTCAGGCTATTGCACATGTTGTGCCCTTTACACAAAATGGTCTTCTTTCTTCTCTTTATCTAGATAACTCTCTCTCCCTTCACATCTCAGTTCATGTGTCTTCTTTATTTATTTTTGAGACAGAGTCTTGCTCTGTCACCCGGCAATTATAGATCACTGCAGCTTTGAACAACTGGGCTCAAATGATCCTCCTGCCTCAGCCCTCTAAGTAGCTGGGACTACAAGCACCTGCCACCACACCTGGCCAATTTATTTTTAAATTTTTATAGAGGTGAGGTCTTGTTATGTTGCCTGGGCTGGTCATGAGCCACTGCACCTGGCCCATATTGTCTTTTTTTTTTTTTTTGAGACGGCGTCTGTCTCTGTCCCCCAGGCTGGAGTGCAGTGGTGTGATCTCGGCTCACTGCAACCTCCATCTCCTGGGTTCAAGTGATTCTCCTGCCTCAGCCTCCCAGGTAACTGGAATTACAGGTGCCCACCACCATGCCCAGCTAATTTTTGTATTTTTAGTAGAGACATGGTTTTACCATATTGGCCAGGCTGATATCGAACTCCTGACATTGTGATCCACCTGCCTCGGCCTCCCAAAGTGCTGGGATTACAGGCATGGGCCACAGCGCCCAGGCCCATATTGTCATTCTTAAAGGAAGTTACCTCCCCAAGTATTTAGATCCCCTTATTTTAGGTTTTCATAGCACATAAATAGTACTGCTTACAGTTAGGATTTTAATCTGATTTGATTTTTATCTTCTCCAGTAGATTTTTAAGTTACAGGAACTTGTTTCTATAGTAACTGTCATGTAGAAGACATTCAGTAACTGTTAATTAAATAAAGGAATTAAATAATAATAAATGATTTGCCTCTTGGATTGGTTTCCAAACTGGTCTTCCTGCTTATATGCTCTTTTCTTTCCAATCTGTCTGGCATTTATCAGTTTATTATCACTAAAATAATGTATTATTCCAAAACCACTATGATTATGAAATAATAATAGTTTCAGATTCCAGTTGAACAGTCTTTTTCAACTGGAATCAGAGGTTTCCAGATTCCAGTTGAACAGTCTTCTTAAAAAATTTTCCCTAAGATAGCTGATTAAGTCTTCTATAGGTTTTTCGCTATAGCTTTTTAAAGCCTCTACAGTATGATTCCATTTAACTTTTGAGCCTTATCTCCATCACTCTCTGCCAAACTGGCTTTGTCTCCTCTTGCTGCCTTTCCCTTAAGTTTGCCTCTGTGTCTTTGTTCTTGTTCACTTATCTGTTCTCTAACCTTCCTGCTCCTTCTCCAGGCCAGTCCTTCCCATCCTGAAGGCCTCACCTCTCCTGAAGTGAGCATGCCCTTGGCTCTGCCACAGATAATCAACCCTTGGTATCCATGGGGGATTGATTCCAGGCCCCCTACGGATGCCAAAACCTGAGGATGCTCAAGTCTTTTGTTTAGAATGGCATAGTAGTTGCACATAACTGATGTGTATCCTCCCATATACTTTAATAATCTTAGATTACTTATAATGTCTAGTACAATGTACATGCTATGTAAATCGCTGTTATACAGTTTTAAACTTTGTATTACTTTTTAATTGCATTATGTTTTAAAAATTTTTTGTTAAATATTTTTCATCCACGGTTGGTTGAACTCATAGATGCAGAACTCGTGCATACAGAGGGCACACTGTACTTTATTTTATGTTTTTTTTTGAGACAGGGTCTTGCTCTGTTGCCCATGCTGGAGTGCAGTGGCACGATCTCAGCTAACTGCAAACTCTGCCCTGGGTTCAGGCAATTCTTCTACCTCAGCCTCCCCAGTAGCTGGGACTACAGGTGTGCGCTACCATGCCCAGCGAATTTTTGTATTTTTTGGTAGACATGGTTTCACCATGTTGGCCAAGCTGATCTCAAACCCCTGGCCTGAAATGATCCACCCGCCTCAGCCTCCCAAAGTGTTGGGATTATAGGCGTGAGCCACTGTGCCCCGCTGTACTTAGAGTTGAGTTATTCAGTACTTTATGTGACCTGCTGATTTTTGTGTGCACTGGCATTTGGCTCTAGGAAATATTTCCTTTGCTTTCAGTCCTGTGCCTGTTGCCGCAGCCCCCTTCCCACCCAGACCCCGGGCTGTTCCAGGGAAGAGGCTGCCTCCTGTCCTGGGCCCTCATAGAGTCCAGCACGGCGCTTTCACGTGCATGTTTCACAGTAAGCTTTGAATCAATATTTGTTTATCTGATTATTTTTTCAGGGTGAAGAAAATCTTAAAACAAGCATTTGTACGTTTTTAGCAGTTTTATCACATTTAGACATTATTACTCAAAATATTCCAGAAAAGGTAAGTTTGTTTGTAAGAATTTAAACTTGACTGTAAAAAAAGAATTGTATGTATTTGTACCAATTTTTTATATGTAGAGCATTCCTGTGAATGTTTGCAATTTTTCCCTTTCCTTTCCACTGCCCTGCTAATGTGCACATGTATTAGACACAAATACCCAGTAAATGGGAATTACCCATTTACATGCATACACACTGAGGTGTGCTTGAGTACATACCAAATTTATAGACAAACTACTGGGTAAGTTTTTGTTGATACTTGTATAAAATTAATAATTATTTATAATTCTTAGGATTAGGATTACTTAGGATTCTTTAAACAGGACTTCCCTTACCTTCTTTGACTGAATGGTAGTTATTTAACAAATGCTCGTGCAAAGAAACTTATGGCCAGACTATTAAAAGCTGTTGGGTAATTGAAGGTGATATAAAATGACTGTCATCATTTGGAGTGTGCAGTACAGTTACTTCATGTTCCTCAGGTTTAGAACAATTTCCCCTGTAAGTTCTCACACAGATAGGCAGAAATCATAACTAATTTTGGTTAATCACTATGGCAGCCGTTGAAGAATTTAAGAGAACCTGCCAGTAAGATTTGGAATAAGATTCTATATTATTGCATCCACAGAAAAGAATGTACTGATATACTATAAACTCTAGGAGAAAACTTAATTGAAATAGTGTTATTAAGTGTTGAAAGTACCATAAAAATATAAGGGAAAATAAGCTTTCCTAGAATTTTTCAGTGTTCTAGTTTTTAAACAGTGATGTTTTTTATTAACCTATTTCATCCATTCAAAGACAGGCCTTTCTCCACACCACATTTTCCTCTAAAATCATGATAACACTTTTAAATTGATGGTGTCTTCCAGTGTGTATCAGCCAGATGGCAGTGTGTTACAGTTCCAGGAAAACTCGTTCACATCTTCCGTAAGATCAAGAAGGCTCTGGCATCAGATAAGATCAAATGTTGTCTTTCTGTTTTAAATATGTGCCGCAAAGAGATTTGCTTACAATCTATTGAGAAAGCTAAAACAGAGCAGACATTGTCCTGTTGCGGGGTAGATGAATAGCCTAAGAATAGTTTAGACAAATTCTGAAAACGAATTTACCTTAGAAGATGTTCATGTTAGATCTGGTAAAAGTAACATGTTATTTTTCTGTCAAGCCCTTTTTGTACTTGCCGTTTATTACATATTTTAGATTTATTTTTTATTTTCGAAACATCCAAAAAGGAATGCTAATTAGTGAAATGGAAGAATTTCCATTTCAACACCTTAGGAAAAAAAAAACTGACTTGACATACCTAAGAAAAGGCCAAGTTGATTTACTTTGTCAGTCTCTTCATTTGTGATACGTAAAGTCCGTTGTTACCTAGATAAATGTAGGTTTGATTTCTTGGAAGCAATCACTTAAGACTTTCCATTTTCTTCAAAGCATCTTACTTAACCTGCATGTGGGATCTGTACTGAGCAATTAGAGATTCAAAACAACTGTCACACACGACAGAGGTGGTAACCGCCCAACAGGTTCACCTCTTCCGCCGCCTACACAGAGCCGATTTATCAAGACAGGAATTGCAATAGAGGAAGAGTACACAGAGCTGCTTGTGCAGGAGACTGGAGTCTTATTAGTACTCAAATCGATCTCCCTGAGCATTCGGGGATCAGAGTTTTTAAGGATAATTTGGTGGGAGGGGGAAGGCCAGTGAGTCAAGGGTGTTGATTGGTTGGGTCGGAGATGAAATCATAAGGAATTGAGGTGTCCTTTTGTGCTAAGTCAGTTCCAGGGTGGGGGCCACGAGATCAGATGAGCCAGTTAATCGATCTGGGTGGTGCCAGCTGATCCGTCGAGTGCAGGTCTGCAAAATATCTCGAGCACCGACATAGGAGCAGTTTAGGGAGGGTCAGAATCTTGTAGCTTCCAGCTACATGACTCCTGAACCATAATTTCTAATCTTGAGGCTAATTTGTTAGTCCTACAAAGGAAATCTAGTCCCCAGACAAGAAGGGGGTTTGTCTTGGGAAAGGGCTGTTATCATCTTTGTTTTAAACTATAAACTAAACTAAGTTTCTCCCAAAGTTAGTTGAGCCTACACCCAGGAATGAACAAGGACAGCTTGGAGGTTAGAAGCAAGATGGAGTTGGTTAGGTCAGATCTCTTTCCCCACCTCAGTTACAATTTTGCAAAGGCGGTTTCAGAATCAGAGCACGAAGTGTTCCTATAAAAGGAAAAAAAAAAAAAACCTTTCTTAATTATGCTCATAGTTGTGTATTGTCCTGTCAGCTTGCTCATTGTGTAAAATGAGCGGACATGAGAATTCACGAGCAGAGCTTTTTACACTGATATGTATGAAAGCATCATTTACGTCCTGAAAGCCCCAGCCGAGCGATCACTGGCAGTGCCAACATTTTTGAGTGTGGGCTCCATAGGAAGCACTGTTTTCCCTATTGAGAATTATAGTGGGTTTTTTTCATTTACGAGTAATGTATACCTAGCTCCAAGATCTTGGTTGCTAACACCATTCTCCAATAAAACGAACCAGGGATCGCTGGAGAAATAGCTGATTCTAAAACTAGGGCAGAAAGTATACAAGATGAGCCTGGAGCATCTTGTAGAGTCAGAGAGCAAGGCAGAACTTTATACATACAGTGATGTGAGATGGGCATGCAGAGGGAAGATGTTCCCAGTGGCTGAAGCTGAAACAGTGTGAGCAACAAAATAAAGCAGTGTTGGATCACAACCCAAAGAATAAAATAAATATCCTCGAGCCCACACCGATATAAATAAATGATTGAATCAATAAATGAGTCCAGGCACTGTGGCTCATGCCTGTAATCCTGCACTTTGGGAGGCCAAGGCGGGTGGATCACTTGAGGTCAGGAGTTCGAGACCAGCCTGGCCAACATGGTGAAACCCCGTCTCTACTAAAAATACAAAAATTAGCCAGGCATGGTGGTACATGCCTATAATCCCAGCTACTCAGGAGGTGAGGCAGGAGAATCACTTGAACCCGGGAGGCAGAAATTGCAATGAGCCAAGATTGCAGGACTGCACTCCAGCCTAGGCGACAGAGTGAGACTCCATCTCAAAAAAAAAAAAAAGGATGGACAAGACAAATCTCTTGTAAAAAAAATTACAAGTAATTTTTATAGAAGCTCTGCCCTGAGGGAGGGGGAGCGTGACTTCTCACTCCTTCAGTGTGGGCTGCACAAGTGACTTCCTTCCATATGGGATCGTTATAACAAAAGACTGTAACAAGGGCTATGGGAGTTATAAGACAGGAATTGTGGACAAAAACCAGTGTATATCATAACATCACACCTTGTAATGTTGGCAGTACAGTCACTGACCTTTGATAAATGTTGATGACATGTTGAGTAAAGGAATGAGAGAAAGAGGATTGTTTATCTCTGTTTTTATCCTTCTCAGAGAAACTTAGAGTAACAAGTGTGTTATCAGCCATGCTGATGCCTTTGGTAAACTATTGTGTGAATATGGTTGTTTTGAATTGGTCAGTAGAAACTGGGCTGCCAGGCGCAGCCGGTAAGCATTTCCATGTGAGCCTTAGGGGAGAAGTGCATTTGGTAGGAGCATCAAAATAGCTTCTGATATTTCATTAAAAGTTTGGGTCCGTCTGGTTCCTTCATTAGTATATGTCACTTCCTTTGACCTTCAGTGTCTGTTGAACCATGTGATTTTAGAAAGCAAGGGATTGCTTGACATCTCCAGGCTGTGAAGACTAAAGTTCACAGGAAAAGACTACAAGGAAATTTAAACAGTTTTATTATTTTCCCCCTCATTTCTTAATTTTCCTGCCACTACTCAGTACTGTGTGGGTCCAGGATCACCATTAGGGAAGACAGAGTAGCTCAGAAATCAGTAGTGAGGAGGAGGACAGCACTTTGTGTGGTATCTTGCTCTAGGAGCATTTTCAAGCCATCAGAAGTGGGACTCTTGAAGACTATTTCTGACTTTCTCAGCACAAATTAAGATAATAGGAGATGGAGGCTCCATTTGAAAAACATTTTGGTTGTATAATGGTTAGCATAAAACATACTTTTTTCAAGTTAACTCAGGTACTAGAGTATGGGGGGCGGGGGGAAATGTACTGCAGCATTAATGAAAACTAGAGCTGGGAGAATGTGTTTTTCCTTGAGTAAATTGCAAATGCCTGTGCACCGCATTTGACCAGGAGGGAAGAATGAGAGGCCCTGGTAGCAAAGCCAGTGGAAGAAGTTTTACTAGGAGCAGTTGTATCATTCGTGTACTTTTTTTGTGTCATACAAGTGAGAGTAAAATGGTCCATGTCTGTGTTTTGAGGAATTTTTTGCCTTTCTTTTCAGAAACTAATTCTGAAGCAAGCCCTTATAGTTGTGCTGCAGTGGTGTTTCAATCACAATTTTAGTGTTCGACTGTATGCTTTAGTTGCTCTTAAGAAACTCTGGACTGTGTGTAAAGTGTTAAGTGTTGAAGAATTTGATGCCCTGACTCCTGTGATTGAATCCAGCCTCCATCAAGTGGAAAGCATGCACGGAGCAGGGTAAGGAGCCCTCGTCAACCTCATCGCCCTCACTCTCCTCCAGCAGGGCCCACAGGGAGGGGGCAGTGCCCATACTGTGTCAGCTTCTCCTTCCACATCCTCATGCTGCCGTCCTGGAGCATCGAGGGCTTGGACTGGGCCAGGCCTAAGCAGCTCACTTTGGGGTGTAGTTAATTACAGTTCATTGTCAGCTCCACCTTGACCTCTTATTGCCCTTTTATCCTCAATCCTTTATTGTACAAATAATCTTCTACATACTTGTACCTGTTTCTCTTCAGTATAGCTAAATGTCATCCTTTGTTGTTTGAGAACTGCTTAGAAGTGGCACGACCTGACTTTAAAGACATACTTTTAATCTCTCAGCTATACTAGTTATAGCTAAAGGCTTTTTTCTTTTCTAAGAGAACTCTCCTATTCCGCAGACAAAATCATACATGGAAGCTCAGTATCAAGCAAGTGACGTGGATGGGGTGAGGGAGCGGTGCAGGACCCAGTGTCTGTGAAGCCCCCACGGTGGTTCCCATGTCTGCCTCTCTTTCCCCGCACCTGTCACGGTGCAGAAGCAGGCTGCAGTGTCATAAGCATCTCCAGGTCTCTGCGCTTGTTTCCTTATCTCTGAGGTGGTGCTGTTTTGCCTTTTTATTATTATCATAGATTATTGCCATCCAGGAATTCTGGATTTTTTTTTTAAATTTTAGAGACACAGGCAATATCAACCAACATAAAAGATTTTTCATCTTAAAAGCTGAAAAAGCACCCACTAATTTATATACACAAATGGTTAAGTGTTGGAAGCAGCATAATAGGCAAATGAAATAGCATTTGGAAAACCAGTAACATGTAGAAGTCTTGGTCGTGACCATTAAGTTATTTGTACATGGTACAAATAAGACTGAGTCATTGTGTAGCTTCATATGGGGCTGGGGCGAGGGTACCTCCCTGGCCCGCAATGTACCTTTCTACCTCCCTTCACTTTTGATGCATTTGTTGAAAAGAGGCATTTGGGCATTAAGTGGGTAAGGGAGGTTTTAGGGGCTTGGGAGAAAGATATTTGATAAATACAAATAAATACTAAAATGGAGAAAAAAGTAAATAGCATGAAATAAAACAGGGGAGTAGCAGGAGAAAAAGAGAGTTAGCTGTGGGGAGATGGGTTCCAGAGGAGGGACAGAGAGCAGAGGCGGGAATGGATTCCTGGTACATCGTGCACAGTTCTGTATACTGGAGAATGACCTTCCTGTGCCTGGCCCAGCAAAGGCTGGTCATCAAAATTAGTCATTCACTGTAGCATTGCCAGGGACCCCTACAATTCCAACTGTCCTCTGAAAACTAAAAATCTTGATCTTTTCAAGGGACCTTAAATGTCTTATTTCTCCTTGGTGTATGGTGTATTTCCTATTATTTGGTGAATACATGGCTGAGTTTACATGTGTAGATTTGAACATTAATATTTCTCAGGATCGCATTTGCATTATCATGCAGTAATCCAAACTCAAGCTACCAAAGTTGCTGCTAATCATATTTTATTATGTAATTTAATGAACTTACGTGCTGTTTGTGTTTGATGGTTAGAGATAGGTAACCAGGGGACAGAGGGTATAGTTACCCCATAGACTTTCAGCCCTTCCTTAATGGAAGGGAGTTTGAGGGAATTGCCATAATTTAACACGCAGATAGGCATTTGTCAGCTTGTAGCTGTCTCTGTGATTCGATGGTGAGTGATTATTTGGTATTGAGACATTTCGATCCTGGTTGTTGATCCTATTCTAAATTTGTTGGTAGCTGTGTTTTGATTTCTAAAAGCAATTGGCTCCAGTCATATTTTTTATTAAGCAATAAAACGCACTTTTAAAAAATAACTTTAAAAATCTCAGTACCAGGTAGGAGATAAATAGCCAATCAAAATAAGGCATCCGGCTGGGTGCAGTGGCTCATGCCTATAATCCCAGCACTTTGGGAGGCCAAGGTAGGTGGATCGCCTGAGGTCAGGAGTTCGAGACCAGCCTGACCAACATGGTGAAACCCTGTCTGTCTCTACTAAAAATACAAAAATTAGCTGGGTGTGGTGGCAGGCGCCTGTAATCTCAGCTACTCGGGAGGCTGAGGCAGGAGAATCTCTTGAACCCGGGAGGTGGAGGTTGCAGTGAGCCAAGATTGCGCCACTGCACTCCAGCCTCGGCAACAGAGCAAGACTCTGTCTCAAAAATAAATAAACAAATAAATAAGGCACCCTGGGCATTAAGCCACCTCTGTTCTGTGATTGCATACCTCCTTGGGATCGGCTTGTGACAGGCACAAGGCCAGGTGCTGGGGCTTAGCCAGGTAGATGAGCCTCTTTCTTCATGTGACTCACAGTCAAATGGGAATAGACATCAAGTAATCAGAGCAATTTTTTAAAGTTTTAAAATAAATCACAGAAAAGTAAATGTGATGAGGAAAGTTTTAAAATAAATCACAGAAAAGTAAATGTGGTGATGAGGAAATACAGACTGTTCAGTCTGGGTGGTTTAGGGAAAGCCTTTCTAAGTAACATGATGTTTACATTAAAATCTAAAGCATGAATAGGAGCTAGGTCAATGAAGACTGAAGGAAAGAGATTTCTGTGCAGAAGACACTGTGTTTGGGAACGGCCAGCCCCACTTGATTTGCCCAGAGCTTTAACTAAAGCAAGCTTGGTCTGGCTGAGGGAAGCAACAGAGCAGTCCCAAGATGGAGGGAGCCAGGGCCAGGCTTGGGTTGATGTTGAGTGAATGGGGAAGCCAGCAAAAAGTTAAACTTGAGAATGACGTCATCCAGTTTTCTTTTGCATTAAAGTGTGAAGAGCAGATCGGAGGTGAGCAAGAGAGAGTGGGAGGAAAATTGTGATTTAGATTAGTATGAGATTAGTAGAGGGACAGAGAAATGGACAGGCTTTGAGGTAAGGTAAACAAGGGCCTAAAGTACTGACTGGATTTATCAAGAGCCATTCGATAGCATAATTAGGGGATTGAAACCAAATTAAAATAGGTACAAGAGGGGGCCAGCTGCAGTGGCTCTCGCCTGTAATCCCAGCACTTTGCGAGGCCGAGGTGAGTGGATTGCTTGAGCCCAGGAGTTCAAGATCAGCCTGGGCAACATGGCAAAACCCCGTTCTCTATAAAAATAATAATAATAAAAAAAAGTTAGCGGGGTATGGTGGCATGCACCTGTAGTCCCAGCACCTCGGGAGGCTGAGGTGAGAGAATCACCTGAGCCCAAGAAGTTGAGGCTGCAGTGAGCGGAGATTGCACCACTGCACTCCAGCCTGGCAACCGAGTGAGACCCTGTCTCAAAAAAAAAACAAACAAACAAAGTCCAAATGTGGATAGGATGATACATTAACATATATTACATCAGAGTGGTAGGTTTACTGGTGTCTATAATTTTCTTTACCTGAATATTCGGAATATTTAAAATATTTCATGTCTTTAACTTTTCAAAAAATGGGTGATGAAGGTGAGACAGAGTCAACTTATTTAGAAAATTCTCTCAAAAAATAGTATATTAGAAAGTTCAACAGCTAGTGGTGGGGGTGCTGTCAAAAGAGGGCTTCTGTTTCATTTTTGGTAACATTAGTTGTTTTTAAGTGATACTCATAGTCAGGAAGTTGAACAGTGCAGAAAGGCATCGAATGAAAACGAGACAGTCTCCTTCCTTCTCCCACCAAAGGTGAAACTCCAGTAAACTTGCTTTTCTTTTAACAGCTACCTAATATTCCATTTGCCTTAGGATATCGCTTGAGTCCATTACTGATGGACACTTTAATAAGGTTTTGTTTTGTTTTTTAAGACTAGATACAAAAGCCCTTTTGAAAAGGCTGAAGGAAAGGCTAGAATAGAGAAGAGGGGAGATGCGGAAGTTGGGGGAGATAGGGCAAAACCCAGGGGAATGGGATCTGTTGCGGGGCAGGGTATTGCCCTTTGAAGAGAGACTCTTGACAGTGAAGGAGAAAAGAGGACAGGTGGGTAAGGAGGTGGCAGGAAGAAGAAAGATCTCTCACTCCTGTCTCCTGTGATGTGTGAGGCATGGCTGTCTGCTGATAGTGAGAGGGTTGGGGAGGGCATAGGAACTCCAGGGAGTGAAGAAGACACACTGGTCAGGGCAGGAGCGTGATCTTGCCAGAAAAATGTCTTGAAATTGCTGCTTAGTTTATGGGTTGATGATCATGAATTTTATCTGAAACCTGCCTGCCATATTGTATAACTTTTATCCCTACCTTTTTTGCCTTTTAAAACATAAACTTGACAACAGATGTTTTAAAAATTTAAACGCTGCTCATAGTAAATTTGTTTGGTTTGTGAAAGTAGGTACAACTTGGCTGCATGGTATGAGTCTTTGGAGTAGAAAAGGTGACTTTTATGTAATGGTTTTCTCTCCTGGAAAAAAGAGTTTTCTGCCAGACATAGGTTTAAGGTTCCATTTCAAAATGTGAAATTTATTAAGTGTCAGTTTTTAAAGTATGTATTGATCTTGGAGAGGTGTGTATAAATCTTAGGATAAAGTTCATAAAATTTTCTGTTCCTTCTCAACTCTGCAGCCACCCTTTAAGATACTGAATTGATTCTCCCCTCACCAGAGTTGTTTCATTTGTCTGTGGCTCATACCATATTTTTAATCCTTAGGAATGCCAAGAAGAATTGGCAACGCATTCAGGAGCATTTCTTTTTTGCAACATTTCACCCACTCAAGGATTATTGTCTAGAGGTGAGTAGAGAATATCATTTGTAAATTCTCTATTGTATCTTTAATCCTGATGCTTCCTTTCTGCTTTTGTTGAAGGGTTGTGATTAGGGTAAAGTTTTTTTCTTGCTTACAAACATCACCTTAACATTTTAAAGTTCTAAGTTTAACTTTGTCACTTTATGCAGATGACTTGCTTTCATTTCACTCTTAAGCAGTGAAAATTGGCTAGTCATTTTCACTTTCTATTTCTCAGGCAGTGTCTGGCTTGTAAACAATGGAAGGGAATATTTAACTCTAAACAGAAATCTGTTCTGACATTAAAAGGAAATGAGTGAGAACATTTGTGCAGGTGAGATTTCATTGTACTGAAGCCCATTGTTAATGAAAGAACAAAAAGATATACTTTTTTGTTAATGGCAATTTTTAGGTTCTGGGTAATGAGAATTGTATAGGAGATGATACATCACCTCACTGACTGTAACAAAATGTGCTTATATAATTTTAAGAACCATAAACATGCTTATTATGATTAACATGTAAATTAATTCAATATGTAAATCATTAGACATTGCATAAATTATGATACCTTCTCCCTTTTTCAACTGTAATTATAATGTGCTGCCCTTGAATTTAAATCACTGACCTAGGGCTTTTCCTCTGAAGAACTTATAAGTTATTGGTAACTTAAGCTGCTGTGCATAAGCAATTTTTTTGGTGGATTACTAAGATTATTGATAAACTGATCTGTAAAAAAGTATAGATCTATATATTGCAAGATATGCATCCTAGAACACTAATGTGTATTTTCTGCTGCTTCACTGCAAATATCATTTAGGATTTTTCAAAGATTTTAATATGCTCTGCTCTGTGTTCTTTAGCGCCCAGAATGCTTTGTCCGGCATCTTTCTGCAGGACTCCTCTAGTCACTCTAGTGTTAAGTCAACCTTTTTCTATTCAGTCTTCCAACAGGAGTAAGTCCTTTGCCTCCCTCCTGCCCTCCCTCATCCTTACCTTTGACCACCTCACTCTCATATGTTTTATGATTTATTCTCCAGTCATGAAATGAATTAAAGGTGTATGTGTAAATAAAATAATGGGGCTTAATTGTTCATAGGAACTGTATCTCTTCATGTATTTGTTTTTTTTTTGTTTTTATTTTATTATTATTATACTTTAAGTTTTAGGTTACATGTGCACAATGTGCAGGTTAGTTACATATGTATAAATGTGCCATGGTCGTGTGCTGCACCCACCAACTCGTCATCTAGCATTAGGTATATCTCCTAAAGCTATCCCTCCCCCCCTCCCCCCACCCCACAACAGTCCCCAGAGTGTAATGTTCCCCTTCCTGTGTCCGTGTGTTCTCATTGTTCAGTTTCCACCTATGAGTGAGAATATGCGGTGTTTGGTTTTTCGTTCTTGCGATAGTTTACTGAGAATGATGATTTCCAATTTCATCCATGTCCCTACAAAGGACATGAACTCATCATTTTTTATGGCCTCATAGTATTCCATGGTGTATATGTGCCACATTTTCTTAATCCAGTCTATCATTGTTGGACATTTGGGTTGGTTCCAAGTCTTTGCTATTGTGAATAGTGCCGCAATAAACATACGTGTGCATGTGTCTTTATAGCAGCATGATTTATAGTCCTTGTGTATATACCCAGTAATGGGATGGCTGGGTCAAATGGTATTTCTAGTTCTAGATCCCTGAGGAATCGCCACACTGACTTCCACAATGGTTGAACTAGTTTAGTCTTCATGTATTTGGAGCTGTACTTGGTGCCCCCTACTTGGTTCCCCCTTAATCAACATGTAGTCGTGATCATTGTGCCAGTTTAAGTTTGCACAGATATAGCTAGTGTGAAGAAAACCATATTCATTCTAAAACCTTTCATGAAGACATGTGCATTGCTGCTAAGAGTATTGTTTCGTTTTTAAGTTGCCTGTTACTTGGACCTCTGCTTCCTATGTACTTGTTTCACTGTTGGTCATTTTTATGGTGCAGTTCTTTTAGTAGGTAAGAAAAGCAAAGGAGGATTGCTTATGCGATGACTGTTTACAGTGGTGTCAGACTATGCCGTGTTCACGAACACTTTAATATGTTGTTGTAATCTGATTTTATCCTCGTCTTACAAATGAGGAAGTTGAAGCCAAGAAAGGCTGAATCACTTGCCTAACGTCACATAACTAATTATATTAGTCAAACCAGAATTCAGATTCTAAATTTATCTAATGGGTACGAGAGTAAAAGACTTGTCATGAAAAGAGCTTGAACTTGATTGCCTTTGGAGGTATTTAGTTGTCAGTAAATTGCACTTATCCAAATACTGTCCATCATTAGAACTGATTACTTCTGAAACACTGTTTTTATTAGGCACATACTGGTTTATTACACACAGTTAGAAGTACCAGAGTACAAGTTCTGCCTCCTCTCAGGGGTTTCCTAAATTAATCCCCTAATTTCTGAGAAGATGAGAAATATATATAGACAGTTGCTATAAGATATAAATGAAAGTATATAGTTTGATCAGATGTAATAGTTTGGAGAATATATCATTAATAATTAAGTTGTATTTTAAATGTTATATATTTCTTTGTTATTCTTAAGGGAAGAAATTTAGATTTTATAATTCTCTTTTCAGACCATATTTTACATCCTTCCACGCCTTTCAGGCCTTATTGAAGATGAATGGATCACCATTGATAAATTTACCAGATTCACTGATGTTCCTTTAGCTGCGGGATTTCAGTGGTACCTTTCTCAAACTCAACTTAGTAAACTAAAACCAGGTGACTGGTCTCAGCAAGACATAGGTAAAAAATAATTTTCATTTTATTTTTTCCCCTTGTTGATCTGGTTAGATTTTTTTGATTTAAGTTACTAAGGACAGGTAGTTAATAATAATATCACTTTCATTGACATGGTGACCTCTGCCTTTCCACTTAGGGAAAAGACAGTGAAAAAGTGTGGTATAACTTTGACTAACACTTTTAGTGAAACTTAGCTTTAAAGCTATTTAAAAAAAAAAAAAAAGCCAAAGGAAGCCTGATCTGCTTTATATAAAGCTGATGGCCAGTGGCCTCCCTTTTAAGTAGTATTGTTCGTTAACACTCATTGCTTTTCTACTATATATTTCTGTAAAAATAAACATTTCCAAAAGGACCAAATGATGAAATCTCTTTTTTTGTCCTTCATAGGAATAAAGCAGAGCTCTTGATTCTAGTCCCCTCTTGGTTGGTTGGACGCCGCTTCATGTTATCCCTTCTCCTCTGTCTCAT
Organism: Homo sapiens; assembly: GCF_000001405.40. Lineage (NCBI taxonomy): Eukaryota > Metazoa > Chordata > Mammalia > Primates > Hominidae > Homo > Homo sapiens. Next base: position 234,397,916 of record NC_000001.11, on the reverse strand, counting down.
CCTTCCCTGTACAATGACTCCTTTCCACCAGCTTCCTCTGGGACCCACATTCCTCTCCTCCCCCTCCTCCCCCTCCCCTCCCTCCTCCCCTCCCCCTCCCTCCCCCTCTTCCCCCGCCTCCTCCCCCTCCTCCCCCGCCTCCTCCCCCTCCTCCCCCTCTTCCCCCTCCCCCCTCTTCTCCCTCCTCCCTCTCTTCCCCCTCTTCCCCCTCTCCCCCTCCCCCTCTTCCCTCACCTCCTCCCCTCTTCCCCCCTCCTCCCCTCTTCCCCCTCCCCCTCCCCTCTTCCCCCACCTCCTCCCCTCTTCCCCCACCTCCTCCCCTCTTCCTCCTCCTCCCCATCCCCATCCCCCTTCCCCCCTCCCTCTTTCCCCTCCTCCCCATCCCCATCCTTCCCCATCCCCCTTCCCCCTCCCCCTTCCCCCCTCCCCCTCTTCCCCATCCTCCCTCCTTCCCCTCCCCCATCTTCCCCCTCCTCCCCCCTCTTCCCCCTCCTCCCCCCTCTTCCCCCTCCTCCCCATCCCCGTCCTCCCCCTCCGCCTCCTCCCCCTCACCCCTCCTCCCCATCCTCCCCCTCCCCCTCCTCCCTCTCCTCCCACTCCCCTTTCTCCCCTTCCCCCTCCTCTGCCTCCCCTACTCCCTTCTCCCTTCCCTCCCTCTCCACTTTCCCATCCCCTCCCCCTTCCCCCCTCCTCCCCCTCCTCCTCCTCTTCCCCTTCACAGTCAAGCTGTCCTAAAAACCCAAGAATCAGGTTCCCTAACTCAATTTAAAAATGACCGTCTTAATGACTGTAGGCTATCTTCCTATCAGTCTGTCACTCACATTTTAGCCTCATTCTGACTCTCCCCAGCCGATTACCACCTTTGAAACTTCTTTCAGGAAATTAGAAATTTTCTTTCGGTTTCTTTTACACAGTCCGAGTGGAAAATGGACGCTGCCCTCAGATTGCACCTGCCCATTCTGTGCCACATGTTTGCCAGTCTCCGGCCATCCTGCCTTTCCTCCTTACTCTGACCCTTCTCATTCTGAGTCCCCCACATGCCCCTGACATCGGTGCTTCTCCAAACTTTCCATGTCTTCAGGACTCACATGTGACTTGTTGAAAATTCAGATTCCATGTCCCACCCTTAGATTTTTTTTTTCTTTTTTTTTAAAGGCCAATTATGGGTCTGGAACCACCCTTAGTTTAAATTCAGTATCTCTGGAGGAGAGTTCTGGGAAAATGCAATTTTTGTCAGGCCTCTGGATGGTTCACTAATGTGTTTTAAGACATACTATCCTAAATTTATTCATTCAACAAAGATTGATTGATTGTCTCCTGCGTGTTAGACATGAGACCGAGTCCCTGCCTCATAGAGCCCACATTCTTACAGAGGAGACAACAGGGAGCACGTACCTAACACAGTGTCTGGTAGTAGAAGTACCGTGAAAAAACAAAGCAGGGTGAAGAGAGGGACGGAGGGTGAGAAAGACCTTTCTAAGGAGTTGACATTGAGCAGAGACCCCAAGGAAGTATGGGCAAGGCAAGGCAAGGTCTGTCCCGGCGAGAGCTTTACTGGAAAAGGAAGAGCAACTGTGAAGATTCTAGAGCAAAGGACAGTGACAGGAGGCACTTCCCAGTGCGGTTGGGTAGAGCCTGGGAGGAGAGGGAAGAGAGATGGCATTGTAGGCAGCTGTCGAGTTCTGCGTAAAGCGGAGCAGGGAAATACAGTGTTACTGGAATGGCAGAATGGCTAACGAGGTCTGTCTGTTCTGCCTGTTTTTGGTAAAGAGGGGCATGTTGTAATAGACTTTCCATGCTGAGGCTTAAATGTTAGTATCCCCCTAATTTTTTTTCTTTTTTAAAGAAGTTTTACTTCATTTTTAATTGACAAATAATAATTGTACATATTTATGGGGTACAGTGTGGCGTTTTCATGCATATATACATTGTGTAATGGTCAAATCAGGATAATTAGCATATCTGTCACCTCTCACGTTTGTGATGAGAACATGGAAAATCCTCTCTTCTAGCTATTTGGAAGTATACATACATTATTGTTACCTATAGTCATCTTACTGTGTACTAGAACACAAGAGCTTATTCCTGACTGACTAACTTTGTACCTTCTGACCAACCTCTCCTCCTGCCACTGAAGGTTTTCACGGGCCCAGTCTTCTTCTCACTCTTCATCCTCTCCCAGAACACATTTATTAATGTCCCCAACTTGAAACCACCGCCTGTGTAACTATAACTTTCAAATCCTTATCTGCTGCCCAGCCTCTGTCCTGAACAGACTGGACATTAGCACCGGGATATTCCTTAAGCTCTTGAAATATCACCATATCCAAATTCAGTTTGCCTTTCTGCCCAAAAGTGCCTGCTCTGTATGCCCTATTAATGGTATTGGTCAATCATCGTGGAAGTCGTTCTTGTCCTGTTTTTGCTCTTGCCACATCCGTTACCCAGTCTTGGCGATTTCACTTCCCAAAGCTGCCTCCTCCTCCTCTTCTTTAGCCCCTCTTGCCTTGTCTTCATTTAGACTGGCATTGTTTTTACCTGGACTACTACAAAAGCCCCTTAATGGTTTTCTAGCCTCCACATAGCTATTAAAAGAGATTTTTCTAAAACACACAGCAGTACTGTTACTCTCCTTCTTAAAATTTTTTAATGGTTTTTAACTGTGGAATAATTTTTTTTTTTCTTTGAGACGGAGTCTCGCTCTGTCTCTCAGGCTGCAGGCTGGAGTGAAGTGGCACGATCTCAGCTCACTGCAACCTCTGCCTCACGGGTTCAAGCGATTCTCGTGCCTCAGCCTCCCTAGTAGCTGGGATTATAGGCGTCTACCACCATGCCTGGCTAATGTTTGTATTTTTAGTAGAGATGGGGTTTCGCTATGTTGGCCAGGCCGGCCTCAAACTCCTGACCTCAGGTGATCCTCCCGCCTTGGCCTCCTAAAGTGCTGGGATTATAGGCGTCCACCACCACACCTGGCTAATGTGTTATTTTTAGTAGAGTCGGGGTTTCACCATGTTGGCCAGGCTGGTCTCAAACTCCTGACCTCAGGTGATCCTCCCTCAGCCTCCCAAAGTTCTGGGATTACAGGCATGAGCCACCATGCCTGGCCAACAGAATAAATTCTTTATCATTGTATGCAAAGCCCTTTGGTTTGAGCCATCTCCCTCCACTCCATTGCAGGCTGTGCACTAAACCAAGGTACTTGCTGCTGTCTGAACCATGTTGCTTCTACATCCCATGCATGTGCACATGCTGTATCTACTGTCTGCTTTGCAAACTTTTACCTTCCTTCCCGCGAGCCTTCCGGGGTCTTACCCTTTGCTTCTCCCTCCCCTAGACATTAGTAACCCCTTTCTGTGTAAGCATTACCTTCACTGTTGTACTGTGTTACAGTTATTTGCATGTCTGTCCTATCCTAAGTGAACTAAGTGCCACTTGATTGCTCAGAAAGCAGTTTGGAGTAGGACAGAGTTGAGGAAGAGCCTGAGAGGTAGAGTCTCAGTCCTGTACTACAGAGATGAAAACACTGCAGTCAGATAGGCTAGTAACGTTCTGTGTCCTCATCACTTTTGTCAAGAGATAACTGCTTTATACAACATCCTTCATTTTAGAAAAGTTACTCCAGCACTTTTAAAATTATTTTAGATATTTTATTATATTGTTTTCAGAAATAGTCTTTCCATAGAAAATCCCAATCTAATATACTGCTGTTTGTAAGATACATCATTATTTTATGTACTTCCAAGGAAAAAAATGTTACCAAACTATGATACTCTGGATTCTAAGATGTGTCTCAATTTCAGATATGCTAAAACGTGAAAAAACGTGTATCTCATGTTTCCATGAAGTATCATAATATGTTGGTTAATAAAGCTGATTTTGAAAACTTAAAGTTACTACTACAAATGGGAATTGTGTCTGAATCCAACTAAAGTTTTTTACTTAATGCTTTGTTAAGTCTCATTCTAAATTATCTCATTCTAAATTATTTCACATTCTTAAAAATACATATACATGTATACATAAATATATAGAGATTCAGATTTATTTATATGTGGGATTGTTTTCTTTTTCCTTCCCAGGTACTAATTTGGTCGAAGCAGATAACCAAGCGGAGTGGACCGACGTTCAGAAGAAGATTATCCCGTGGAACAGTCGTGTTTCCGACTTAGACCTGGAGCTCCTGTTTCAGGATCGTGCTGCCAGACTTGGAAAGTCAATTAGTAGACTCATCGTTGTGGCCTCGCTCATCGACAAACCGACCAATTTAGGAGGTAAAGTTGGAGTTTTCTGGGAGCTTTGCCTGAAAGCTTTTGGTCTTCAACATTTTTTAATTAATCCACTGCCACGGGAGCTTCAAAGGAATGTATGCGACATGATGAGCTTAGCATTGTGCTGGGAACAATCTTAATGATCCCAGGTGTTCTGTGCAGGACTGTGCAGGACCTGTGAGGTATTTGGGGCTTCAGTGCTCGTTGTTGGCAGCCTTCAGTGTATCAGCGACAAACAGTTTCAGCACCTCAGTGTCTCTGCAGAACAGTGGCTTCCTCTAGTGGAGGTGGGTGGAAAGTAATTTATTATTAAAGTTCTTAAAACAAGCCCGCACATGTACCCGTGAACCTAAAATAAAAGTTTAAAAAAAAGTTTGTATTTGTAAAAATATTTTATAGTGCTCTATCTTTGTGTATTAGTCCTTTTGCATAATTTATAATAGTGCAGTCTTTAATCATTTAAGAACAGTGTTTAAAAATAACATACAGCTCACTTCTGTTTTTCTACTTATTTTTTTATAGGTCACAGTTTTAGAAATCATCAATAATGTAGAATTCTGTTCAGTAAAACATATCCTGTTACAGCCCACTCTTGATGTAGGAATAATTCTTAGAAATTTATATCATGGTGGCTGGGCGCGGTGGCTCACGCCTGTAATCCCAGCACTTTGGGAGGCCGAGGCGGGCGGATCACAAGCTCAGGAGATCGAGACCATCCTGGCTAACACAGTGAAACCCCATCTCTACTAAAAAATAAAAAATAAAAAAAAATTAGCCGGGCGTGGTGGTGGGCGCCTGTAGTCCCAGCTACTTGGGATGCTGAGGCAGGAGAATGGCGTGAACCCGGGAGGCGGAGCTTGCAGTGAGCCAAGATCGCGCCACTGCACTCCAGCCTGGGTGACACAGCAAGACTCCACCTCAAAAAAAAAAAAAAAGAAATTGATGTCATGTTGGGAGAGTTCTTTTTTATAATGTATAATTCTCTCCTTTTTCTTTTAAAGAGTTAAGTTTAGGTTAATACGTTTTTTAACTCTAATTTACTCCAAGCAGGGCTATAACTGAATGAATATTCTGTTCTTTTTAAACTAATATTCAGGTAAAACCACCTCAGCTAATTGATTATCTGCAGCAGAAGAAAACAGAAGGTTATACCATCATTGGAGTGGAACAAACTGCCAAAAGTTTAGACCTAACCCAATATTGCTTTCCTGAGAAATCTCTGCTCTTGTTGGGGTAAGAAGCTTCTTGTGTCCATAGTATATTCTCTGAGCCCCAGACTACTGGAAGATGTTACCTTGTTTTTTTTTGTTTTTGAGACGGAGTCTCACTCTGTAGCCCAGGCTGGAGTGTAGTGGCACAATCTCGGCTCACTACAACCTCTGCCTCATTGGCTCAAGCAATTTTCAGGCATCAGCTTCCCAAGTAGCTGGGATTACAGGCATGCTCCACGAGACCCAGGGTTTCACCATGTTGGCTAGGCTGGTCTCGAACTCCTGACCTCAAGTGATCCTCTGGCCTTGGCCTCCATGGTGGGATTACAGGCGTGAGCCACCGTGCCTGGCTAGAAGATGTTACTTTTCTGTTTTACAGTTTACCCTGACTCCTGCTCATACCTGCACTTTTCTTTGATTTGTAACATTTATAAGAAGCTCCCTGGGCTTTCCTTTTATTTCATCTCTCTGGCATGGCCAGCTGAACATGGAATTGACCCATCAGTCTTTTTTTTTACACTCTTATTTATTTCCCGGTACTACAGACTTAACTTCATTTGTTAATGTTTCTTTTAGTAACATTCAGAATATCAAAGAGAAAAATAAGTGAATAAACAAAAAATAAAAAGAATATCAAAGAGAAAAATTGTTTGTTACAGGAAAACTAATCTTTCTTCCATTTTCTTCCTCAGAAATGAACGTGAGGGAATTCCAGCAAATCTGATCCAACAGTTGGACGTTTGTGTGGAAATTCCTCAACAGGGCATTATCCGCTCCCTGAATGTCCATGTGAGTGGAGCCCTGCTGATCTGGGAGTACACCAGGCAGCAGCTGCTCTCGCACGGAGATACCAAGCCATGATGTGCCTTCCTTAGTGAACTGCTGCTGCTGTTCAGACTTTTTTAAAAAAAACTATTTGGACTAAAGAAACAGATTCTGAAATTTATTGTGATAATTTGTATTTCTTTTTTCTTGCAATTTAATGCCAAAAGTTTGCCATGTGCCTTAAACATATTACTATATATTTTCCCCTTTAATAAACACTTTTTGTTAAATTGTATTCTTCCTTTAATAAAATATTTTAAGCAATTGTGGAAATAAAACAATGGATTTTTTAAGAGAGAATTTATTTCCTAGAAACGCCTTTTGTCAGAAGTGTGGACTATGATAAAGCAGAGTTAAAGCAGCGATCATCTGTGAACACTCATACCCTTGAGTCATATGGAGACCAGGGAGGTTGAGGCAAAGGTTCCGAATGAAGAGGGGTCATCAGCCTCTGTGCCGCTTTCCGTCTCTGTACTCCCCTCGGGAACACATTTGGCAGGATGCAGAGCCAGCATCCCTGTGAGGCTCAGAATGCTCAGGTAGTAGGCTTTAATTTATTTTTAAAGCCATGAACTAGGCCATAATCATTCACAGTAAGTTTATGGCCAGGTGCTATGGCTCACGCCCCCCACACTTTGGGAGGCCAAGGCGGGTGGATCACCTGAGCTCAGGAATTTGAGACCAGCCTGGCCAACATGGTGAAACCCTGTCTCTACTAAAAATACAAAAATTAGCTGGGTGTGGTGACATGCACCTGTAATCCCAGCTACTTGGGAGGCTGAGGCAGGAGAATTGCTTGAACCTGGGAGGCTGAGGCAGGAGAATTGCTTGAACCTGGGAGGCAGAGGCTGCAGTGAGCCGAGATTGCGCCAGTGCACTCCAGCCTGAATGAGAGAATGAGACTCCATCTCAAAAAAAAAAAAAAAAAAAAGTTTATATGAAGTTTTTCATATCACCTTTGCACACAGAGATCAAATAGTGGTTAGAAATAGTCTATATTCTGACAACTATGAACATGGACCTAAAGGAGTTGAATTACTCCTGTATATCTTTATCGCAACAGAATGGAACCTGTAAGTGTTGATTGTTTCTGTTCTTTCAATTTTTTTCCTCTGGCATTTATTACTTAATTATTTATGAGTAACTATTTATCACTACCCAGCAATGAATTTCAATTATATCTGGGTCCTTTTAAATAATATTTAAATTTGAGCCCATTACCTGTAAATATTTTCTTCTGCAGTTTTCTTTAGAAATGACTGTTTTGTAGAAGGGTTGCAAAGAGAGTACACAAAGTTTTCATACACCCTTCACCCACATGCCTCTAATGTGATCTTAATAACCATGGTAACCTTCATCAAAGCTGAGAAAGTAACCATTGATAATGGCTCTCTTCACTAGACTATAGGCTTTATTCAAATCTCCCATTTTCCACTCTGTTTTCCACTCTGTTTTCTGCCCCAGGAGCCAACCCAGGATACCACATTGTGTGTTCCCTTAGTCTCCTCATATCTCTGACAGATCTTCAGTCTTTCCTTGTCTTTCCATGACCTGGACACTTGAAGAGTACTGGCCAAGTATTCTGTGAATGTCCCATAATTTGGGCTTGTCTGGTGTTTTCTCATTAGACTGAGTTTGTGGGTTTTAAGGAAGAACATGCCAGTGGTCAGGTGCCTTCCCATCACATCGTGTTAGGCGGCTCATGGCACCAGCAGGATGGACTACCCCCATCAATGGATGAAGGCTGCGCTTGCCACATTCTTCTCTGTGAAGTTGCTACCTGTCCTCTTAGTCTGTTAAAAGTGAGTGACTAGGGTGGGCGCGGTGGCTCACGCCTGTAATCCCAGCACTTTGGGAGGCCGGGGCGGGCAGATCACGAGGTCAGGAGATCGAGACCATCCTGGCTAACACGGTGAAACCCCGTCTCTACTAAAAATACAAAAAATTAGCCGGGCATGGTGGTGGCTGCCTGTAGTCCCAGCTACTCAGGAAGCTGAGGCAGGAGAATGGTGTGAACCCGGGAGGCGGAGCTTGCAGTGAGCCAAGATCGTGCCACCACACTCCAGCCTGGGTGACAGAGCGAGACTGTCTCAAAAAAAAAAAAAAAAAAAGTGAATGACTAAGCCCAGTCTGTACTAAAGGGTAGGGAGTGTAAACTCTGTGGGAGGGAGGAGTATCAAAGAATTCAGGAGCACCTGTTAAAATTACCACAGTAATTAATATTTGGGGGAGTATTTGGATGCTATGCAAATTACAAGCCCTGTCAGTGGATGGAACTAGGGGATCTGTGTATGTCTACCAACCCATGTATGTACATATCTATGATGTTTCTGCCTTTATCAGTCTAGATAGGTGAACATAAACGTGACTTCGTACTGACATCTCTGACACAATCCAGCACCACAGGATTCATTCTAACATTCACCTCTTGCTTTTAACTGCTTTTTCTGACCTAGACCTGGTTCTCATTATCTATATTTACTTATTTGTTCAATCCTAATGTAAACGTAGTTTCAGAATTGCAAATTTAGCAACTGTGTACAGTTCTTTTTGTCCGTAGCCTTACAGTATCTGGTCAAAACACCATTTTCCAGTTACCTAGGTCAGTCCCTTTCTTACCCACCTCTTTGAAAAGGGTTATGTCATATATTTTATAATACAACTAGACTCATCACGACCTGCATTCCATCTTGTAATCCCCCCTATATCCTGGTTGATTTTATTTGTGCATTCAGGTCACTTTTTATAGTGAACAGTCTGGATTTTGACAAGTGTGAACTCATGAATCTGTCACCACAGTGCCATAGTTTTGTCACCCAAAGTTTACTTGGGTGACCCCTTCATAGTCAACCCCTCTCCTTATCCCAACCATTGGTAACCACTGATCTGTTCTCTATTCTTCAGTTTCACCTTTTCCAGAATCTTATAAATGGCAGCATATAGTATGTAGCCTTTTGGATCTGGCTTCTTCACATAGGAAAGTGCATTTAAAGCTCATCTATGTTGTGTGACTCAGAAGTTAATTTTTCCTTAGTGCTGAGTGGTATCCCATTCATAGATGTATCGCAGTTTATCCATTCCTCTGTTGTAGGCATCTGGGTTGTTTCAAGGTTTTGGTGATTATGAATAAAGCTGCTTTGAGTAAATATTCATATACAGGTTTTGTTTTCAGTTCATTCGGTGAAATACCTAGGAGTGTGATTACCGGGTCATAAGGTAAGTGTATGTTTAACTCTGTAAAAAAGCTGTTTTCCAACGGGGCTTTATTTTTTCCATAGCCAGCAGCAGTGAATGACTGTTGCTCTGCATCGTCGGCAGCACTTGGTGTTGTCAACTTTTTAATTCAAGCCACTCTAATAGGTGTGTAGTGATTATGTCATTGTGGTATTAATTTGCATTACTCTAATGTTTCGTAACATGGAGCATCTTTTGATATATTTTTCAGAGTATACCTTCTAAGAAGTATGTACAAAATCTTATTTTTTAAACTGGATTGTTTTTCTTATTTTGAGAATTACAAGATTTATTCTGGATGCAAGTTCCTCATAAAATATATGATTTGCAAACATTGTCTCTCAGTCTGTAATTTACCTTCATTATTTTAAGAGTATCTTTCGCAGAGCAAAAGTTTTTAATTTTGATAAAGTCCAATTTAGCTTTTACTTGTATGGATTGTGCTTTTGATGCTTTATCTGAAAATTCATTTCCAGACACAAGATCATGCAGAACTTCTTCATATTTTCTTCAAGTTTTATAGTTTTACATTTTACATTTAGCTCTATGATCCATTTTGAGTTAATTTTTGTACCAAGCGTAAGGATGTTAAAGTTTATTTTTTGGTGTGTTTGGATATCCAATTTTTCTAGCACTATTTGTTGAAAAGATTATCCTTTCTCTGTTGAAATGCCTTTGTACTTCTGTCCAAACACAGTTGACTATTATATGGGTCTCTATTGTTCCATTAAACTATATCTTTCGTTTTGCCCATACCATACTGTGTTGATTACTGTACCTTCCAAATATGTCTTGAAATCAAGTAATGTGAATCCTCCAACTTTGTTCTTCCTTTTAGAATTGACTATTTTAGTTCCTTCACTTTTCCATATAAATTTTAGAATCAGCTTGTCAATATCTACAAAAAAGCTTATTGAGATTTTGATTGGGGTTGTATTGAACCTATAGATCAAATTGGAGAGAATTTAACCATATCTTAACAATAGCGAGTCTTCTAATCCATGAACACAGTATAGTCGTCCCTCAGTATCCATGATGCATTGGCTCCAAGACCCTCTGCAGATACCAAAATCTGCAGATGCTCAAGTTTCTTATATAAAATGGTATAGTATTTGCATATAATCTATACATATCCTCCCTTATACAGGCATACCTCATTTTATTGCACTTGATTTATTGTGCTTCACAGATAATGCATTTTTTACAAATTGAAGGTTTGTGGCAACCTTGTGTCAATCATATCTATCTGTGCCATTTTCCCGACAGCATGTGTCTCTGTTAGTTTTGCTAATTCTCACAGTATTTCAAATGTTTTCATTGCTTCATCTATTATGGTGATCTGTGATCAGTGATCTTTGATGTTACTTTTATAATTGCTTTGGGGTGCCACAAACTGTACCCATGTAAGATGGTGAACTTAACTGATAAATGTGTGTGTTCTGGCTGGGTGTGGTGGCTCACTCCTGTAATCCCAGCACTTTGGGAGGCTGAGGCGGGCGGATTCCTTGAGGTCAGGAGTTTGAGACCAGCCTGGCCAACATGGTGAAACACCGTCTCTACTAAAAATACAAAAATTAACTGGGCATGGTGGCACGCGACCGTAGTCCCAGCTACTCAGGAAGCTGAGGCAGGAGAATCGCTTGAATCCAGGAGGCAGAGGTTGCAGTGAGCCAAGATCATGCCACTGCACTGCAGCCTGGTGACAGAGCAAGACTCATCTCAAAAAAAAAAAAAAAATTGTGTGTTCTGACTGCTCCTCTCACTGGCTGCCATCTCTCTCTTCTCCTCAGGACTCCCTATTCCCTGAGACAACAATATTGAAATTAGGCCAATTAATAACACTATTGATGGCCTCTAAAGTGTTCAAGTGAAAGGAAAAGTGGCACGTCTCTCGCTTTAAATCAAAAGCTAGAAATGAAAGAGCTTAGTGAGGAAGCCAATGTCAAAAGCTGACACAGGCCAAAAGCTAGGCCTCTTGCACCAAATGCTTAGCCAAGTTGTGAATGCAAAGGAAAAGTTCTTGAAATTAAAAGTGCGACTCCAGTGAACACATCAATAAGAAAGTGAAAGTCTTATTGCTGATATGGAGAAAGTTTGAGTTTTCCGGATAGACGATCAAACCAGCCACAATATTCCCTTAAACCAAAGCCTTATCCAGAGCAAAGCCCTAGTTGTCTTCAATTTTATAAAGGCTGAGAGGTGAGGAAGCTACAGCAGAAAACTGTGAAGCTAGCAGACATTGGTTAATGAAGCGTGAGGAAAGAAACTACCTCCAAAAAAGAGCAAGGTGAAGAAGCAAGTGCTCATGCAGAAGCTGCAGCAAATCATCCAGATCTAGCCAAGATCACTGATGAAGGTGGCCACACTACACAGATTTTCGACGTTGATGAAACAGCCTTCTTTTGGCAGAGGATGCCATCTAGGACTTTCAGAGCTAGAGAGAAGTCAATGCCTGGCTTCAAAGTTTTAAAGGACAGGCAACTTGTTAGGGGCTATTAATGCAGCAGGTGACTTCAGGTTGGAGGAAGGAACTGCAGATGTGGTAGAAATAACAAGAGAACTAGAATTAGAAGTGAAGCCTGGCCGGGCGTGGTGGCTCATGCCTGTAATCCTAGCATTGGGAGGCCGAGGTGGGAAGATCACTTGAGGTGAGGAGTTTGAGACCAGCCTGGCCAACATGGTGAAACCCCATCTCTACCAAAAAATACAAAAATTAGCTAGGTGTGGTACGCCCCTATAGTCCCAGCTACTCGGGAGGCTGTGGTGGGAGAATCGTTTGAACCCGGGAAGCAGAGGTTGCAGTGAGCCAAGATCGCACCATTGCACTCCAGCCTGAGTGACAGAGTGAGACCCTGTCTCAAAAAAAAAAAAAAGCCTGATGTGACAATTGCTGCAATCTCATGATCTTGAATGGATGAGAAGTTGCTTTTTATGGATGAGCAAAGAAAATGATTTCTTGAGATGGAACCTATTCCTGGTGAAGATGCTGTGAATACTGTTGGAATAACAAAGCATTTAGAATATGACATAAACTCAGGTGATAAAGCAGCAGCAGGGTTTAAGAGGATTGACTCCAATTTTGGAAGCAGTTCTACTATAGGTAAAATACTATCAAACAGCATTGCACACTACAGAGAAATCTTTTGTGAAATGAAGAGTCAATCAATACAGCAAACTTAATTGTCTTAAGAAATTGCCACAGCCACCCCAAACTTCAGCAACCACCCCCCACCTTGATCAGTCCGCAGCCATCAACATCGAGGCAAGACCCTCTACCAGCAAAAGGATGACAACTCGCTGAAGACTCAGAGAATCTTTAGCATTTTTTAGTAATAAAAAGTATTTTAAAATGAAGGCATATATACTGAGCAGACATAATGCTATTGCACACTTACTAGACAACAGTATAAACATAACTTCTATGTGTACTGGAAAACCAAAACATTTGTGTAACCCACTCTATTGTGATATTCACTTTAATGCAGTGGTCTGTAACCAAACCTGCAGTATCTTTGAGGTATGCCTATACTTTAAATCATCTCAATGACTTACAATACCTAATACAATGTAAATAGGTGTTATACTGGATTTTTAAATTTTTATTATTTTTACTCGTTTTTCCTTTTCCCAAAAATTTTCTCTTCGGGGTTGAATCCATGGATGCAGAACCCACAGAGGGCCAACTGTATACCTCTCCATTTAATCTGATGTAGTCTGCTTCCAAGTGTTTTCTAGTTCTCAGCATAGAGGCCTCCATATATTAGATTTATACCTAAGTATTCCTTTAATTTTTTTTGGTGCTATTCACAAATGGTATTTTTAAGTTTTAAATTCCAGTTGTTTATTGCTGATATATAGGAATATAATTTTCCTTGTGTATATTGACCTTGTTTCCTGCAACCTTTCTATGATTGACTTATAGTTCTAGGAGCTCTTTTTGTGCATCCATTGGTACATTCTATAAGATAGTATTTATTATATGTGAGTAGAGCTAGTTTTCTTTCTTCCTTCCCAGTGTGTATGCTTTTTCTTTTTTGTCTCACTGGACTAGCTAGACATCCAGTTCCTGTCCCAACATTAAGTGTTGATATTAGCTATGGGCTTTTTTATAGATGGCTTTTATTATTTTACTTGTATATTTTAAGTTCACCCTTCTTCCTTATAAACCTTCCACAAACCCTCATCATTTCTCACTTGGGTTGTTGTAATAGCTCTTGCCTGTATTAAAATGCTAACTCCCATTTATTTCACTTCTATGTATATTATAAATTTTATCATCTGCCTACTACCCATCCTCTAATTAAAAACAAAACAAAAACAAAACAAAAGTGCATGTGTTTATAACAGGTTTTACTTTTTTTCTTAAAATAGAGATTTCTTACTAAATACCATTTTATTTCATTTCTTCACAGATCTTCTGGTTCTTGATCATCTTAATTATCAAGTGTCGTATATAGGGAACAAGTATTGATGTTCACTATGATTCAAACTATTACTGTTCCATAGTCAGTGGAGCTTTTTCAATGTCCAGAAAGAATACTTTCAATCTTTATGAACAGCCTAGGATTTTGCAGTTGTTTCTGAAGGCTCAAATTGTCCTGCTTCAAATTTTTCTTTGAATTTTAAGTAGTCTCTTCTTTTATCAAAATATTTTATCTGTTGGAAAAAAAAAGGATTTGAAATAAGGGCAAGTTATGCAGCTTAGATAAGCAAAAGCACAGATTTAAATGTAACATATTATTCAACATAAATTTAAGTGATTTATATTCTAGAACCATTTTGTGTGTGTGTGTGTGTGTGTGTGTCAGCTGTAACTATGAATGATGTTTTTCTTTTTTTTTTTATTATACTTTAAGTTTTAGGGTACACGTGCACAACGTGCAGGTTAGTTACATATGTATACATGTGCCATGTTGGTGTGCTGCACCCAGTAACTCGCCATTTAACATTAGGTATACCTCCTAATGCTATCTGTCCCCCCCTCCCCCCACCCCACAACAGGCCCCAGTGTGTGATGTTCCCTTTCCTGTGATGTGTTCTCATTGTCTAGAACCATTTTGAATTGAGGCATTTGATGAAAAAGTCTCTGAGGAGAGTACAGACCAGTGAATCCTAATCCTTTTTGGATTACAGACCATACTGAGAATTTGAATAACTCAGGAACCTTCTCAAGAAATGGACCCATGTGCACACAGGTCAGGCTTGCTGGCGAGTTCAGAGTCCACAGAGCTCTCAGGTAGGTCAGAAGGCTTCAAATGAGAACACATTGGACCATTTTTCTTACTTCCCTTCCCTTCCTTCCATTCCCTTCCCTCCCTCCCTCCCTCCCTCCCTCCCTCCCTTCCTTCTCTCTCTCTCTCTCTTTCTTTCTTGACAGAGAGTCTCGCTCTGTCACCCAGGCTGGAGTGCAGTGGAGCAATCTCGGCTCACTGCAACGTCCGCCTCCCAGGTTCAAGCTATTCTCTGGCCTCAGCCTCCCAAGTAGCTGCAATTACAGGCATCTGCTACCATGCCCGGCTACTTTTTTTGTATTTTTAGTAGTGATGGGGTTTTGCCATCTTGGCCAGGCTGGTCTCGAACTCCTGACCTCAAGTGATCCACCTGCCTTGGCCTCCCAAAGCGCTGGCAGGCGTGAGCCACCACACTGAGCCTGGACCATTTTTCTTATCAACTCTAAATTCATCTTCATTGTCAGACCAGAAAACACTAGTTCTTTTGTTAAAAGCCTTTCTTTGGATTTAATTCTTAAATATTTCAGTGGTGCTCGTAAGTAAAAATTATCTTGGACTGCAAATGTAAAAATCTGCCCTGTGCTGTATCAATCAAGCTAGGATAACAGACACACACAAAGTCAGCTGAAAGGAAACATGTCTCCCGAGGGTGTACGACAGCCACGGAGTGTGCTAATAGATCCGTTATTTGAGTGATTACTGCTTTCTTATTCATTGGGAAATCTTGTTCTCTAAAATCATTAACTACCAGAAATTTGCTGTTTGAAGTCTGATCTGTAAGAAGGAAACATCCCACTTTTGTCTAGAAGATCTACGGCGCCCTGACACAGAAGCAGCCTTGATCTCCAACCCAGCTCCAGGATGTCAAATAACATTTCTCAACATGAACATGACACTCAATCTTTTAACTTCAAAGAAAGAAAACCCTGGTCCACTTTTCGATCCAGAGCTGACGACGACACCTATGCTTTGTACTGAGGTTGTCAAAACACCATTTCATTTAAATTTTACCTAAACTCCATTCTTCCCCTAAACTTCTAATAACTCTCTTTTTCTTTGTTGGTAAGATGCCCACAGTTCTCTGGTGTGTGGTCTTCCTGGTTATAAGCATTCACAAATCAGACTATACATTCATCCCTGGTGGTCTCAGGCTGATTGGGCTAGGATGGATGTTATATAAGGATACCAAAGGAAGAAGTGGACATTGCCCTTAACATTTTTGTGACAAATTAATAGATGTTTGCATGTCCTGTCACATCTCCAACTGCCTAAGACAACTCCATTTAGAGGTCCTACTGATGTTGCAGTCCCAACTTGTCCAGAACTTTGCTCCTCTCCAAACATGTTTCTCCTCTAATACCTATTTCAATGAACGCATCACATCTACCTAGACACTTACATCTCTTTTCCCTTCTTCACTGCCACAGCACAAACCCTCATCATTTCTCACTTGGGTTGCTGTAACAGCTCTTTCACTGGCTTCTCTATTTCTAGGCTCAACCATCCTTAATTCACCTGTCCCAGGCTGCCAGAGTATAATCTTTCTGAAACCCAAATTTGATCAGGTCACTTGCTTGTTTGAAGATCTTTCAAGGTATCCATATTGCCTTTAAGGTTTCTAAGACAAACGAGGCCACTGATGGCTTCATCCCTGCGCCCCTGTCCATCCTCTCTGAATTCACCAGCAGTCCCTGAACTGTTTGTCCTACAGAGCTACCCCATGCTCATTTCCTGCGCGTCTTGATTCCATGCCTTTGCATATTACCACATTCTGCCTGGAAAGCTCTCCTCCCTAGCCATCACCTTCTCTTTCAACCAACAGCCTAAACCCTCAACACACGGTCCTTTCTCTAAAAGGCTAATGAATCAACAAGGATTCATTGAGAAATACTGTATACACATATGCGAGTGGTCTCTAAACCACTGAATAAGACCCAGGACAGTAGTGTGAATGCCAAAATACTGGGATTTCTGAGACATTTCAAAGTTTTATAGAAAAAAGACAATATATGAATTTGATATTAAGATCAAAGATCTTGGATATCTGGTTGCTCTGTTTGTGGAACTTTGTTAGATGATGCTAGAATGATAGGCCTGATCCCTGCTCCTAAGTTAGGAACAATAGGAGCCTTTTATTTTATTTTATTTTTGAGACAGTCTTACTCTGTCACCCAAGCTGGAGTGCAGTGGCGTGATCTTGGCTCACTGCAACCTCTGCTTACCAGGTTCCAGTGATTCTCCTGACTCAGCCTCCCGAGTAGGTGGGACTACAGGCGCGTGCCACCGCGCCTGGCTAATTTTCGTATTTTTAGTAGAGATGGGGTTTCGCCATGTTGGCCAGGCTGGTCCCGACCTCCTGACCTCAGGTGATCCACCCGCCTTGGGAGTGGTGGCTCACGCCTATAATCCCAGAAGACTTTCAATAGGACCATTATACACATCATACTGATGAGTGCTATAAAACAGATATGTGAGTACGAGAGAGAACTAATTTGTTTTGGTAACAGCTACCATATTAGTTGTATGGCATATTTATTTTGTAATAAGCATGTATTTTTGGTGTTTTGGGATAGAATTACTCAATCTAAATCCCAATTTGGTGGTGCTATTTTTTATCTTTATTTCGTGGCTGTCACATCAGCTAAGTAAAAGATCCAAATTTTGAAATCATAGACATTCAAATCCTCTCTCTACTACTTTACTGGTTGGCTGGTCTAAGACAAATTATTTTACCTTTCTGAACCTTAGTTCCTATTGTATAAAGCAGATACAAAGTACCTCACAAGACTGAATGAAAATTAAAGGCAACAAAAACAAAGCATCTCATTCAGAATGCACTCAAAAGAGATTTCCATTTACTTGCCCTCCCGTGTGCCTCCCCACCCTTATGCACACATATCTCTGGAAAAACTTTTCAGCTTTTATTCTGTGGCAATTGAGTAGGACTTTGACAAGGTAATACTTGAAAAGAGAGCACAGGTGAACAGGGAGCAAAGAACCGATAGTGAAGGGCAGGCTGAGAAATAACTCAGTTATGAACTAAGAAAGAACAGTGGTGCAGAAGAAAATGGGTGCAAATGGGAAACGGGCTATCACTGTCAAATGCTGCAGAAGTCAATGGGAATAATTTACTATACTACCTGCTTCCCTTCTTTGTTACAGTCATCTACAACTTTGCAGGTCACCATCTGATATGGTTAGGCTTTGTGTCCCCACCCAAATCTCATCTTGAATTGTAATCCCCATAATCGCCACTTGTCAAGGGAGAGACCAGGTGAAGGTAACTGAATCACCGGGGTAGTTTCTCCCACGCTGTTCTTGTGACAGTAAGTGAGTTCTCATAAGATCAGATGGTTTTATAAGGGGCTCTTCCCCCTTTGTTTGGCACTTCTCCTTCCTGCCGCCTTGTGAAGAAGGTGCCTTGCTTCCCCCTTGCCTTCCACCATGATTGTAAGTTTCCTGAGGCCTCCCCAGCCATGCTGAACTGTGAGTCAATTAAACCTCTTTCCTTTGTAAATTAACCAGTCTCAGGCAGTTCTTTATAGCAGTATGAAAACGGACTAATACACCATCATTTTTTCCAACAATAATCAGGTCACAACTCGTGGGTACTCAGGTCAAAACTCGCGGGTAATTTCAATGTCCACATACTGATCTTTTCAATACCATGGCCTCTGTTCCTTGACCTCTTCAATGATCTCATCCTCCAACCTACCTTACTCCCAGGATCAAAGCTTATATCTTATCCTCATAACAAACAGAACCCTTCCATAATTCCAATTGTGAGAATCCCATTCTCCAACCCCTACCTCTGAACATTCCCTCTTGGACTTAATGCCAACAGCCAACCAGTCCCACCACCTTTCTACTGATTGTCATCCCTCTCATGGCCTCACTTCCCTCCTTACTCCTAAACCCAAAGCTCTCCAATAGCTTCCTGTATTACTAAGAGTAAAAGCACCAACCATGGCCGGGCACAGTGGCTCACACCTATAATCCCAGCTCTTTGGGAGGCTGAGATGGGCAGATCGCTTGAGTCCAGGAGTTCAAGACCAGCCTGGGCAACATGGCAAAGATCACACCACTGCACTCCAGCCTGGGCAACAGAGTGAGACTGTCTGGAAAAAAAAAAAAAAAAAAAAATTAAAAAAGTACCTCCCTGGCCTCCCGTCTCTTGGCTCTAACTTATGCTATTTTCTTCTTACTGTCCCTTAAACACATCGGTGCAGGTTTTTGTTGCTTTTTTTGTTTGTTTTGTTTTTTTCAAAAAGAAAAAAAAACCAGAGTCTTGTACTCACCCAGGCTGGAGTGCAGTGGCATAATCTCAGCTTACTGGAAACTCCACCTCCCGGGTTCAAGCAATTCTCCTGCCTCAGCCTCCCAAATAGTTGGGATTACAGGTGCCCACCATCACACCCAGCTAATTTTTGTATTTTTAGTAGAGACTGGGTTTTGCCATGTTGGCCAGGCTGGTCTCAAATCCTGACCTCAGGTGATCCGCCCACCTCGGCCTCCCAAAGTGCTGGGATTACAGGCATGAGCAACTGCGCCTGGCCCATCAGTGCAGGTTTCTGGCTGTTTCATTCTCTCTGCCTGGAATCGTCTTCACCAGGTATCTGCCTATCTGTTCCCTAACTTTTTTCATAACTTTGTGAAAACAGTTACTGTATAAATAAAACCTTTCTTGACCATCCTACTTAAACCTGTACCCTTGTTTGATTTTTCATCCTATCACTTATCACCATATAACATCCTTTTAATTCTACTACTTGTCTCTCTCCCCATACTAGAATGTATGCTACATGAGGGCTGAGCACTTTGTCTATTTTTCCTTGCTGTATTTTCCTATGGCACATAGGAGGTGCTCAATAGATATTTGTGGAATGACTAAATGAACAGGATATGCACCAAAAAAATGACCATGGAGCTGAAGTAGGGCCATCATCTATATTTGGGTGATTTTTTTTCTCTATCATTCCATTAAAATGGGCAGGTTATGTGTTCTTGAACTTTAATAAATACGCTTTTTACAAAACACGTGAATGTACTTTTCTTGTCAGAAGGGGAACACTGAGTCTCCGCTCTAGATCCATTAACTGTCATACTCCTTCCCCAGACAACACAAGTGCTTTAACTGATGATGAACACGGTCATTCCTCTCCTTCACCCCCTGGCAGCAAGACTGGTTACAGAGAGCTTGCACTCAGCTCTGCGGTTCTACGGGTGAGTTTTATAGGTACACACCCCATGTGGGGGTGCTGTGGTAGCTTCATGCTGCCTGCATCTGGACAGGTGAGGTAATGGCCACTATTGGGCCTCTGTCCAGATTCCCTCTGCAGACCCATGCACGCACTCCCCGCTGTGCTGGGCAGTGGCTAACAGCAGATGGCTGCCCCCTTCTCCAGAGACCTGCCCCTCAGCCAATGCCAATGACTGGCAGGCACAAAAGCCATGAAATATGGTGCAATTTACACTCCAGAGCTTCCAGAAGGATCAGAGTGAAGCTGGACAGCAGCTGAGCTCACAGCCCTAACTTACCTAGTCTCCCTCCTGAGAACACTCCAATAATTCAGTCGAGGGTGACACGCAGGTCCCGGGTCCTAAGTTGATGCTGGTGTCTTTCACTGAAGCTGGAAGCATGGGAGGAGAGGCCTACTGGGTGCAGGTCATGAGTGTGGGCCCTGCTAACCTGATGGGATTAATGTCCTTATAAGAAGAGGAAGAGCCGGGTGCAGTGGCTCATGCCTGTAATCCCAGCACTTTGGGAGGCTGAGGCGGGTGGAACAAGAGGTCAGGAGTTCAAGACCAGCCTGGCCAAGATGGTGAAACCCCATCTCTACTAAAACTACAAAAAGTAACTGGGTGTGGTGGCGGGCGCTTGTAATCCCAGCTACTCAGGAGGCTGAGGCAGGAGAACTGCTTGAACCTGGGCAGCAGAGGTTGCAGTGAGCTGAGATCACACCACTGCACTCCAGCCTGGGTGACAGAGTGAGACTCTGTCTCAACAACAACAAAAAAAACAAAAAAAGAGGAGACAGAGACTGGATCTCTCTCTCTCTCTCTCTCTCTCTCTCTCTCTCTCTCTCTCGGCAACACAGCAAGAAGGTAGCTGTCTACAAGCCAGGATGAGGGCCCTCATCACAAACTGACCATGCTGGCATGCTGATCTCGGACCTCCAGCCTCCAACACTATGAGAAATAAATTTCTCTAAGGTATTTTGTTATGACAGCCTGGGCTAAGATAGGCATCAACACATAAGCTGGGACTTCAAGCCATGGCTGTAAACAGGATTGCCTTGGTCGAGTGAGTAGCAGAGAAGGGAGCTCTAATGAACACGGGCATTTAAGACTCACAGCAAGGCATTCCAAAGAGCAGCGGCTGCTAGACGCGAATGAAGGAACTGGGTGAGAGAACCGTAAAGAGACCCAAGGAGACAGGGCTTTTGTATTCAAGTAGACCTGAATGATAACTCAGTTTCTAGAACTACATGAGACTTGTGCAAGCTATTTTCATGGATCCTTTTCTTGCATGGTAGGCATAGGAAGAAGTATGTGGGGTCTGGAATCAGACTACTGAGTTCAAATCCAGGCTCTGTTACTACAGGTGACTTCATGTCAATGTGCCCTTACCTATAAAACCGCTAAGAGAGTTCCACGAGGGATAAATAAGATAGATGACACATTTCAAGTGTGTAGAGTGTAGAGTGTAGAGGATGTACTCAATTCATGTTAGCGGTGACTAGGACGCAGTGACCTGGAGAGAGGTTGGGGCCTCAGGGGATGGCACCCAGTCTGCTTGAGTGAGAGAGATGTACATACGATCAAGAACCAAATGGCTGGTTGTAAAAACCCTTTCTGGCACACAGACTGGAAGCTGCCCCGGAAGTGTGGGAGTGGGAGCCATCAGGCTGGAGAAAAAGCAGTGGGTTGCAGGAGGAGAGAGAGGATAAAAGTGGGATCGAAGGGGAACTCCTTAAACCTGGAGTTCCTCTCAATGCATCTGTCTAATGGGAAAACTACAGATGTATAATATTTTCTTCTGGAGTCATTATCTAATTCAATCATAGAGTCCCACATTGATCAGTTTTCAGTTTACATGTCAAGTTATGCATTTTGTTGTCATAACAATCCCACGAGATAGGTTGTAACAGGCTGGTTTTACAGATGAAGAGTTCATCTAAAGCAATGCCTGGCCAGACGTGGTGACTCACGCCTGTTAATCCCAGTGCTTTGGGAGGTCGAGGTGGGAAGATCACTTGAGCCCAGGAGTTCGAGCCCAGCCTGGGCAACATAGTGAGATCCTGTCTTTACAAAATAATTTTAAAAATTAGCCAGGCATGGTGGCAAATGCCCATAGTGCCAGCTTCTCAGGAGGTTTAGGCGGGAAGATTGCTTGAGGCCAGGAGGTCAAGGCTGCAGTGAGCTATGATCACGCCACTACACTCAAGCCAGGGTGACAGATTGAGAACCTGTCTCTAAAAATTAAAGAAAGAAAAATAAAGTAATTTCTGTTCACTGTGTTCATCCCCAGCTCAGCCACCAATACGACCCCTCCCTGCATCACAGCCTTCTTGTAGCCTCCTTCAGAGCCTTTTAAAGGTTTGAGGTATGAGAGGGCAAAACCCCTAAAACCACTTCAACTCTAAAAGTATCTGTTTTCCAACTACATGGTATATTTTGCAGCAGCATAAGACAGTGAAAAAGCACAGGCAAATCCAAGTTCAAATCCCACACCAGCCAGTTAGGCCTGCCTTAAAATTACAGTTTTGCCACTTGCTGAGTAATAACAAGCGAGTTACTTCAATGCTCTGAGCTTCAGCTGCCTCCTCTGGAGATAGAGAATAACAACGTCTCGCTCTGTGGCCCAGGCTGGAATGCAGTGGCGTGATCTTGGCTCACTACAACCTCCACCTCCCAGGTCCTGGTTCAAGCAATTCTCCTGCCTCAGCCTCCTGAGTAGCTGGGATTAGAGGCATGTGCCACCATGCCCAGCTATTTTTTTTTTTTTTTTTTTGTATTTTTAGTAGAGATGGGGTTTCACTATGTTGGCCAGGCTGGTCTTGAACTCCTGACCTCGTGATCTGCCCGCCTCAGCCTCCCAAAGTGCTGGGATTACAGGCGTGAGCCACCGCACCCAGCCAACAACACCTATCTTAACAGGTACTGGTGAAGATGAAAATGTCAAGCACTTAGCACACATGGCCACTTACTAACCTCAGTAATAGTCCTCTTTCCAATCCCCCCTTATACTAAGGACAGGGGATACAGCGCTTGAATGCCTGTCAGGGAGACAGAATCCACCATATGAACCTTTTCTTTCTTCTGCTTACCAAACTCCTTTCTTTATATTTTGGGTATATGATGACTTACAGGATTTTTGGGTGAGCAACTGGGAATGCTTTATTTCTGATAGTAGCTCTAGGTCAATAATTTTGCCAACTCCTGCCCAAGATTAAATACTACCCCTTCAGAAGATCCTGGAAAAGTCTACCAGTGAAATGAACTGGAATTTTTTGGTTACTGTTCATATGTTTGTTGTGTTTTTCGATGCTCTTTAATGTGTCAGTTGACATTCTCCAAAGATCTAGCTGATGTAAGTGCGTCAAATAAGGCTGAATTACCAGGCAAGGTTTTCTCTGCGCCTCAAAGAAACTGTTAATTGACATGCCTCAGAGAGCGCTTCATGTCAGCCTACCACTCACAGTATAAGCTCGATGTATCTTAACAGGGAAGAGAAACACATCAAAGTGTGACTTACCCACTGTTGGGGACAACTTGATTCGAAAGAGCTTCTTAACTTCTTGCATTGAGAAGCATCCTCTAAGTTCTCATCTAAACACTTCCAGTACTCATCCCGGGCCCCCCAGCAGACCTGTCTTTCCTTCATAGATGGGGCTGCCATTCCTACTGCGATGAAGCTGTTGGCCAAAATAATATTTGAGATTAACAATGAACTTTGTAATCTGAAGAGAAGATAAGGAAAGAGGAAAACCGTCAATCTCCTCTTCCTTTAAAACTAAAAAAAAAAAAAAAAACAAAAACAAAACAAAACCATGCTTAGGGATTTTGATGAGGCAACTGAACCCAATCAGTTCTCAGTGGCAGCATAAGGCCACCCGCTCTTGAGGCTTATCTCACACTGTGTGATTTGATCCCTGCTGGGGCGGCAGCGTGGGCTCAGAAAGCCCGGCTGAGAACTGTGGTTCTGTCCCAGTCGCTTAGGGCAGCTCATTTATTCTCTCCGAGCCCGTTTCCCACCAGTAAAGCGGGGACAGCAGTGCCTAGTTTACAGGGTTACTGTTCGAACCTAAGCGCTGTAGAAACAGGTGTGTGGGGGCCACAATCACCAAGCAGGCGATTGGAGTGCCACCCCGTTTTGCACAAGAGGAACCCGCGGCTCGGGGACAGTAAGGGACCTCCCGGGCCCATAGTCCACGCGCGCCCCACCCGGACCCATCAGCAAGCCGACCTCTCTGCCCGCCCACGTCCGGCTTCCTTTCGATGTCGACGGGAGGAAACTGTCACGCAGGCCACCAACCGGCGGTGGAGGGCGCGGTGCCGAGTCCTGCCACTGCAGGGTCGCCCCGCTGGCTCAAGCTCTAGAAGCGTAGACCTCCCCAGCCGCAAAAAGCAACTCACGCGGCGAAACCGCGGACTCTTTTGACCCTTCCGAGCTACCATTTACTTTCCATAGAGGGGCGGGACTTCCTGTTTCGCTTTTATCTGTAAGACCGACTTCCGGCCTTCAAGGGCAAGAGGGGTATATACGTATATATCATCGCACGGTGTGTCCCGGAAGGCTTGATATGCTAGTCCCGCGGGACAAGGCGAGCCGAGGAGTTTGTGTGGAAGTTTGCATCTGAGAGTGCGAGAGCTGGACGGAGTGTTACAGAGCCGCGATGCCTTCTCGTTTTGTTTTGTTTTGTTTTTGATACAGTGTCTCGCTCTTCCGCCCAGTCTCGAGTGCAGTGGTGAGAACACGGCTTACTGCAGCCTCAAAATCCTGGACCCAAAAGATCCTCCCACCTCAGCCTGCCTCCCAGGTAGCTGGGACTACAGGCGCACAACACCATCGCTTCTTGGATTAAAAGAAAAGGATGAAACGGGCCCCAGAAAGAGGCGGTGACGTCCCAGAACCCATGGCAGGGGAGTTGGGAAAATAAATATTTGTATTGTTTTAATCTCCCTTGTGGCTTTTTTTAACCCCCGAAACAGCAAGGTATTTTTAAAAGGGATGAAGAGAGTTGCTTCAAATGTTTTGAGACGTTGTTATTTTTAATATGTGAGTGAATATCTTAGAAACAAAATGAACAAGAAATAAAAATTTTAGAAAATATATGAGTTAATCTCTCAGCAGAGTCTTTATTAAAAAGCATGTTTATGGTCAGTCATCTGGCACCCCGTTCTCTTAATAGATCCCATCTGCTCCATCATCTAGTTCTAAAACATTTATATAAGATGCAATTTACAATTTTGCACTCAGTGCAGTTTGATCCATTCCAAATTCAATATATGCAGACTTTTCCGGGTGGCGATGTGAGGCTACGTACCACCAAATATGTGTTCTGCAATATAGAAAGTATTTCCCCCATAGTTAATGCACTCTCATAGTGGAGTTACTTTAGCTTTACCAGAGCCACCCCCTTCTTTTACATCATGTCTATTGACGTCAGTTTACATATAGATATCTTTTAAATATGACTGATGGGATATAAAAGGAATGAAAGGAAAGAGTCTTAGATGACTTCTGAGTCTAAAAAGGAAATGTGTTTTAAATTTAAAATTTATAAGTACCTAATGAAAAATACATATGAAACAAAGTGAAGTGACAGAATTACAAAGAAAAAAAATGCCTGGTCATATTGGGTAATTTTAACAGGACTTTCTCACTAATCGTTAAGACTAGCAAGAGAAAAGTTAAGGATATAGGAAACGTGAATAACATGATGTAAAAATGACGCAATTAATATGTACAGAACAACACGACCAAAATCAGAATGTACAGTTTTTTGAAAGCAGACACATCACCACAGTCAACCACATACTTAGTTATAAAGCAACTCAAGAAATTTTGAAAATTGAAATAATTGTCATTTTTTACTACAGTGCATTTAAGATAGAAATCAATAAAGAACTGTAAAAACAAGCCTGAATAACACAGAGACAGAGTCAATGGTATTGAGAAAATATTTTGAACTGAACCATAAAATAACAATAGCAACACCTGTGGGATGAAACTGAAGCAGCACTTACAGGGACATTTATAGCCATAAGTAAGTGTATTAGAAGAGTCTGAAAAGTCTTGAGCTGAAAATCCCTTTTCAAGAAGTTAGAAAAAGGACAGCAAAATAAGACAGAAAATAGAAGGACAGAAATAATGTTAAGAGCAGAAATTAACGAAATGGAAAATAAAAGCAGTGGTGTACCAGAGCCAGCCTGTACTGGCATAGGAGAGCCAATTGTGCACACCTCTTGGCAACTCCATGATCAATAACATCAAATAAGTAGCTTGAAGTCACCCACGATGGGACTGTTTACACTATGGAACTCAACAAACAAGCCAGGATTTTGTTTTATGTTTGGAGCCAATTCAAATAAGTAGCTTGAAGTCAACCATGATGGGACTGTTTACACTATGGAAATCAACAAGCCAGGATTTTATGTTTGGAGCTAACTCACTAGCACACCACAGCATAGAATAGGTTGAAAGAAGCCAAAAGTTGATTTTTTTTGGAAAAGAAAAATTAAAATTGGCAAACATCTAATAGCTATAAAAGGAGGGATGTCAACAATCTTTATCAAGAATGGAAACTAGAAATACTATAGACATCAAAAAAGTTAGATAATCTTGTAAACAATTTAGTGCAAATAAGATTTAGATGACTGTACAAACTTCAAGAAAAACAACTCAAAAGTAGAGAAACTATTACATAATTTGAATGAGTAGTGAAGAATCTTCATACACACAAATCCCAGGTACGTGGCTCCACCAGTAAGTTCCTACAAACTTTGAAATCATTCCATTCTTACTGAATAAGGCTACCATAACTTTTGTACTAATTATAAAATCCCCAAACCTCTGAAACACCACACACTTTGGAACTCATTTGGTGAAAAATACGACTTAAAGTAACATGAGGCTCTTTATAGTTGTTATTATCACTTAGGTGACTGCATATGCTTTTCGGTAGAAATATTAATGTATTTCATTATGGGTACTGTCCCAGTTCTTGTTGAGAATATTATACAATATATGTTGTATGTTTCATACTACCCTTCTAATATTTAAAATAGTCTATATTTCAAACATCTGGCTCCAGGGATTTCAGGTGAGTTATGTGGACCTATATAAGAAAAAATCTTTATGACTTAGGTTAAGAGGAATTTTTAGCCATAAAGGAAAGTCTCAGTAATTATCAAATGATGTGGCCGGGTGCGGTGGCTCACGCCTGTAGTCCCAGCACTTTGGGAGGCTGAGGCAGACGGATCATGAGGTAAGGAGTTCGAGACCAGCCTGGCCAACATGGTGAAACCCCGTCTCTAATAAAGATACAAAAAATTAGCCGGATATGGTGGTGTGTGCCTGTAATCCCAGCTACTCAGGAGGCTGATGCAGGAGAATTGCTTGAACTCAGGAGGCGGAGGTTGCAGTGAGCTGAGATCATGCCATTGCACTCCAGCCTGGGTAACAGGGAGAGACTTCGTCAAAAAAAAAAAAAAAAAAAAAAAAAAAAAGATGTGTTACATACATAAAAATATTGGGCTACATAAAAGTAATGGACTTTTGTTTACCAAACAATACCATGAAGCAAGTGAAAAAGGATTAGTATCCAGAATATACAAATAACACAAATCAATAAGAAATAGACTTGCCCATTTTGAAAATGGGCAAAAAGCTTAAATAGGCACAGCACCAAATGCAAATGACTAATACATGAAAGGACCAACATTCCCATTAGTAACTATAGAAAGGAACATGAAAATAACAATGCAGTACTATTAGACACCCAGCAGATCAAAAAATAATTTAAAAGTCTGACAGAAACAAGTTTTAAGGAAGAAGCAAGGAATATCCTCATACACTGTGGTAGCATAAGTTGATACAATCAGGGAAAACAGTGTGGCATTATCTAGTAAGATTGAATTATCTAGTAAGATTGAAGATACACATTCACTGTGACTCAGCAACTCTACAGAATTTCCTGTACATATGCATTTTTTTAATAGCTGAAACCATTATGCAACTCAAACTTGTATCAACAATAGAATGGATAAATTATGGTATAGTCATACTGTGAAATATAATACAGCAACAAAGAGAAACAAACGATTATTTACAATAACATGGTGAATTGCCATACTGAGACAACCAATGAATACAGAATATTTCCACTTACATAAAGTTCAAAAACGGGCAGAACTCTACTATATTGTTTAAAATAACAGTCATAAGTAGTAAAACTATACAGAAAAGCTAAGAAATGATTATCACAAATGTTCCTCTCTAGGGTAAGAAAGGAGATATGATCAGGGAGGGGCACATGGTGGGGCTCCTGGGATGCGGAGAATGTTTTATTTATGGACCTGAGTGTTCGCTTTATAATTATTCTTTAAATAAACTGTACATATATGTTTTATTCACTTTTCCATAGGAATGTATATCTCACAATTTCTAAACAAATAAAATGAGTAATTGACCTGAGGAAGGTCATCTTTAATAAATTTGATTTACAGAAAGGTAAAAATAGTGGTCACACAGAATATTTGTAGTGTTATTACTAAATTTTTAATGAATTTAGTATCTTAAGTGCTCTTCGAGGTCAAAAGTTAGTGGTCTCTAGTGCTAAATGCCACCGTGCACCTAAGCAATTCCTAGTGGTCTGTGGTAAGCTTAAGGGATAGACAAGGAAGATATTACCAGAGAGATGTAGTGAGTTGCAATAACATTCCCCACCTTACCCCTGAAGAAGTCTAGTTCGCCAGTTGGGAAATGCTGGTTTTACTAACAGAGCAAAAACAAACTAGAAGAGAGGAATTTTGTGGTGTCAATAAGAAAAAGAAAATTAACACAGGATAACAATTGCAAAGACCATTTCACCTTACAAAATCTTAAAGATTAAAATGGAACAATGTGGGTGCCATAAAATGATTTCAAGTGTGCTGTTTTGACACAAAGAGGGTGTAATCACCCAGCCTATGTTTGGAGGAGAGAGGAGGCGAGGAGGAGTCAGTGTGAAGAGGTGGAAGACGTGTTGTGCTGGGTTGCCATCCAGAGGAAATTTTGAGTGGGTGCTCTCTAGTCGGAACGAAGTAGATCCCCAAACCACTGGTGGGCAGGGCCAGACAGACCCAGTCGCACTGAAAATGTATGTGTTGTTTTTCTGTTGCTGCCCACAGACTTTTATTTATAATCTGTACTGTTACAAAGCAGTTATCACAGACACCTACTCACGGGCACAGACCGGAGAACGATTCCCTTGACTTCAGTGTTGCTACAGCGATCTTCTGAATTTCTTCTAGATCTCTGTGCTGTCTCCTTGCCTTCCTCAACCCCCTTAACTATAGGTATACGCCAAGATGCTGTCCCTTCATTTCTCTCTCTCTCTTGCTCTCCTCTCTCTCTCTCTGCATTGTTTTAGTTGGTGAGTCAATTCACTCTGATAGTTTCAGTTAGCACTTCTGTCACAAAGACTTGCAAGACTATGTTTTGGTCCTTAAAAGAACCTTTGTGACAGTTTTCTTGTTCCACATCCCTATTGGATATCTTCACTTGTTTATCTTTCCATCATTCCAAGACGTTCAGAACTGGACTCGATATTTTCTCTCTAGAAGCGCTGCTCTTCTTAAGCTGTTCTTTTTCATCAGTTCCACAAGTCCTTTGTCTTCCCGTTAGAAGCCTTCCAGTTCTCTTTTATGCTCCCTGCTCTGTATTTACATAGCCAATCCATTTCACAGACATTATGCATCTGTGCAGTGCCAGCCTCCATGGTTGGCCTTGGGGATAAAGACAAATAAGAGGCCAGTGGCCCATGCCTGTAATCCCAGTACTTTGGGAGGCCGAGGCGGGTGGATCATGAGGTCAGGAGATTGAGACCATCCTGGTTAACAGGGTGAAACCCCGTCTCTACTAAAAATACAAAAAATTAGCCAGGCGTGGTGGCGGGTGCCTGTAGTCCCAGCTACTCAGGAGGTTAAGGCAGGAGAATGGCATGAACCCGGGAGGCGGAGGTTGCAGTGAGCTGAGATCGTGCCACTGCAGTCCAGCCTGGGCAACAGAGCGAGACTCCGTCTCAAAAAAGACAAATAAGGTAGGTCTCAGCCTTTGAGAAGCTCAGTCTAGTGGAGGACATGGACCATATTATCCTCTAATAAAGGGCAATAAGAGCTATGATAGAGGCAGGCATCCAATGCAATGGGTGTCCAGAACAGGAGTTTGCCAAGAGACCTCAAAAAGGGGAACACAGGTGGTATTAGAAACAGCACAGTGGAATGGAGAAGAGTATTGTGTTCAGAGGCAGACTACACTTGAATTCTATTTCCTCCAGTGTCAAGCTGTGCAACCTTGGTCAGGTTACTGAATCTTTGTATACATTGGTTCCCTCGACTGAAAATGTGGGTGGTAATATAGACCTTAGGTTTCTTGTGAAAGTTAAATGAAACAAGCCATGCAAAGCACTTAGAAGAGTGTCTAGCACATTAAAAAATTTCATTCATTCAACATACACACATATATATATATAGAGAGAGAGAGAGAGAGAGACAGAGAGAGAGAGAGCACTTACTATGTGCTGTTTTAGGGGCTTAGGAGACATCAGAGAACATATAGATAAAAATTCCTACCCTCATGGAATGTGCATTTTAGCAGGGAGACAATAAGCAATAGACATAACAAATAAAGTATATGTAGTATGTTAGGTAAGTGTTATAGGAAAAAGAAAAAAGAAAATGTTAATTATTAATATTACTGTATTATAGAAGTCACTTTATCTTAGACTTAAAGGAAGAGAAGTCTTATAAACAGAAAAATGTTTCATCTCATCTAAGATGCATTCATCATAAGTTGCACTCTTCTCCTTCTCCTTCTCCTTCTTCTTCTTTTTGAGACAGAGTGTCACTCTGTCCCCCAGGCTGGAGTGCAGTGGCCCGATCTCAGCTCACTGCAACCTCTTCCTCCCGGGTTCAAGTCATTCTCCTGCCCAGCCTCCCGAGTAGCTGGGACTACAGGCGCGTATCACCACGCCGGGCTAATTTTTTGAATTTTTAGTAGAGACGGGGTTTCACCGTGTTAGCCAGGATGGTCTTGATCTCCTGACCTTGTGATTCGCCCGCCTCGGCCTCCCAAAGTGCTGGGATTACAGGCGTGAGCCACCGCACCCGGCCTGCACCATTATTTTATATACGACTAAGAAAAGAAAAAACATTGCCAAATTGAGTATAACACAATGCTTTTTATTACCGAGGATTTTTCTTTTTGTTTTTGAGACAGAGTCTTGCTTTGTTGCCCAGGCTGGAGTGCAGTGGCATGATCTCAGCTCACTGCAACCTCCGCCTCCCGGATTCAAGCTATTCTCATGCCTCAGCCTCCCAGGTAGCTGGGATTACAGGTGCCCACTACCACACCCAGCTAATTTTTGTATTTTTAGTAGAGGTGGGGTTTCTCCATGTTGGCCAGACTGGTCTCGAATTCCTGACCTCGAGTGATCCACCTGCCTCAGCTTCCCGAAATGCTGGGATTACAGATGTGAGCCCAGCCCTACCTAAGATTTTTATCTTAAACATTAAAACCTATTTAGACATATTTAGGCATGGATTATTTTCATTGTATTATACTTTTAAATACATTAAAATGAAAATAAAAGCAGAAATTGATTAAGGTATTCCTAAAACTTCTTTATATTTACTCCTCTAAATCACTTTTTGATTCAGTCAGAAATGTCTTCCCTTCCCTTCCAGGCAAAGCAAGCAGTAATACGAATGTCCAGAGATAGGGCAGAACCAGTCTCTTGACAACAGTGAACAGCTTACTATCCCTGGAACATAGGGTGCAGGATGGGGGTTTGTGGGAAAGAGGTGAGGAGGTCTCTCTATCATTAGAGCCTACTGTTCCTTGATTAAAAACAACTCTCAACTCTTTTCTTCTTAATTAATTCACAACATTCACGTATTCAACACTCAGTCCCTACCACCAATATGGGGCCACATGGTGGT